>NC_000002.12:103550224-103853254 GCF_000001405.40 Homo sapiens | reverse complement strand
TCCTTTCCTTTGGATTATATTGTTTCTCTATAGGCATCATGATATTGTACATGTTTTATAGTTTCAACTAGTTAGAAGGAAGATATTAAATGCTCCCAACACAAATAAATAATCAGTGTTGGAGATGATAGATATGCTAATCACCCTGTGCTGATTGTACTATATGTATTGTACATATGCACTATATGTATTGCAACGTCACCATGTACTCCATAACACATAACACAACACATAACACATAACACAACTATTATGTGTTAATTAAAAGATTTTTTAAAAAGTCAACAAGTTTAATTTTGTTACATGGCTTTTAGTGTATCAGTCACCTGAATAACATACATTGTAGCCATTAAACAATTTCCTTTCATCTGCACCCTCCCACTCTCAGACCCTTCCAAGTCTCCATTGTCTATTATTTCACACTCTATGCCAGGAGGTGTTCATTTCAGGAAGCAGGACGAGAGGAAAGAACAGGGAAAAGATAGGTTGATTCCTGTTAAGAGAAGCGTCAATGATCACTTCCATTCACAAATCATTGGCCAGAAGTTGGTCATATAGCAACACCTTGCTTGCAAAGCTTACTGGAAAGTGGTGTCTAGTTGGATGGCCATGTTTTCAACTCCAGTTCTCTCATCTAGGGAGGTGTAAGATGATTTCTTAATAATTTCTATTAACATTGTATTTTAGTTTCCTTCAGAAGGTCTTTTTTATTTTCTTTGAATCAGAATTGACATATCTAGAGGATGCTTATTATTTAATTTCCTCTTTAAGTAATTATTTAACTGACTACAGCCATTTAGTTTCCCAATTTTTTTCATTAAATAATCAGTAATAAATATCTTGTGTGATAAACCCTAGCCTACATTGTATGCCTAGAAAGGATTCAAAGCGAATAAAAGTTTGGAACAGTTTATAAATTTTTTTAGAAAAAGAATATTGCTTCCTTTAAAAATAATTTCCACTTTAGAAAGGCTGTATCAATCCATATTCCTACCCCAAATGCACACATTATTTTTTTCATTGGTTACTATTCAAACCTAGGATCTCTCTAATGAAAACATCCTAGCTAATTTAATAATTGGAAATTATATTTTATCATTTTGGTTTGAATTTCTGAGAAGTCAATCATGTTATTCAGTCTTTGTCATTTGTAATACTTTTGGAGTTATCTCAAACTTATTAGACCTCATGAATCTATTGTGTGCAATTAAATGTTAGAGGGAAATAAGGAAAATGAAGTAATTGAATTATGAGAAATTCTGTCAGCAATTTTTAAAAATGTGTAATAAGGGATGCCCAATGGCCAAAGTCTTTATAATGGCCCCAAAGACTCTACAGGGCAGAGCTTCCCATACCTCCCATCTCATCTCCTGCTTTACTTTTCCCCATGCTCTCCTCCGCTGACCTGTTATGCAGATATTTTTGTTTATGTGTTCGTTTTCTCTTCCACTAGCCAATATGATACTTAAAATAGGAATTATCTCTCTTTTGACTAAGGCTGTCTCCCCAGGGTCCAGGACAGTGCTTTGTGGATAGTAGGTCATCAATATATTTTGCATGTAGGGAGAACATAAAAAGTCGGTGAAAAGACAACAAGGAGTAGAACTTGACCTTGCCTGAAACTTTGAAGGCAAAATCCGATCAGAAATTGGAACAGTATGTTCCAGCTCTAAGGAGAAAAATCAACACAACCATTGAGGAATAAGAGCTAATTCAGAGAAACTGAGAGGTGGAACAAACAGGTTGAGTTGAATTTGAAAATGGAAGACCATGGATATCAAGCCAAGGAGTTTCAGGGCCTCTTTCAAAATCACAAATCATGAGTGATGATTCTAAGTAAGCCATAAAATCCATTCCAAAATCCTCAAAAAGTGGTTTGTTCAAATTCAAATTACTCATTTTACGAAACCAAAGGATTTCCCAGCATAAATGTTTTCCTGGTGATGCACACCTCTGCAATTCATACAACAAGTGATTATTTGAAGTTTGCAATCCCTTTAACTTTCTGCTGTTCCTGTTATTTTACGAGTGATAACATTGCCTCTTAGTTCTCTTAAGATGCCAGCAGCATTCCTCCAATATATTCCTTTGCATAGTTTACTGTTTTCCAAAGAGACGTAGTTTCATTTTAAAATCTATTTCTTGACACCAGGTTTTGATCTCTGCATTACATTATCTGATTAAGCAAAGGTATATTTTAGTAGTCATCACTACCATTAGCAAGACAGGTGGGGTATTTCACTATATGGTTCTAATTATTTGTATCCACCTTGTTTTATGAACATTTTGGGAAATAGGTTTACTTATAATGTTTCAGGGCTTTGGGCATGCTTTATTAACCAAAGCTATTTTTCATTTTTTATAACTCGCTTTCCCTTTGAAAACACTATGCCCAAGAAATGCTACATCAACAGCTTGTAAAAATTTTTGTCAAGAAAGAAATGAGTATTGATAAGAGATTAAAATTTTATTTGAGAAAACAGCCATATAAAAATTAGGCTTCGGTATTTTTGACTCTTAAAGGGATATTAAAGTGAGGCTTGCAGCTATTTAATTTAATTTGTGAAAGCATTGGCCATACTGACTCAGAGTCTGTAGGCAGTTATCTTATTCTTTCCTCTCCATAAATGCCTGCTGCTTATACAGATCACAGCTCAACCCTGCTTCACAGCGTGCATGTTTCAAAGAGAAACTGAGTAATATAAGGACCTATTTGCATTGCTATTTTATAATCAAGTTGGCTTACAAATATTTGGATTTGAATGGCATTAATAAATAGATGAATCTGTCAATTAATTAAATATATTTTCTGGACTTTTCATCTTGAAGCAGTGTACCTATTTTTATATTTCTAAAGCAGTGAATTGCAAAAGTCCTTTTGCCTCTCAAAACAAATATATAACAAGACAATATACTTTTTTACAGATCATGTACTGAGCTCATGAGCTATATTTTAATATTAATTATAATAATCTGTGTATTATTTGGGCTTATCTGTGTAGATTACAGCACAATTTCTGGATAATGACTTTCCCCCTCATTCCTTCTAATCCTTATACATCTCATTTCTTTCCATTTCTCCCTCTGCTTTCTAGGACATATGTTTAGATGTTAAATAGAAGAGGTTGCCCATTTCCTATTCTTTTTTTACTTTTCTACCTTATTTTTTAAAGCAATTTTTGGTTCACAGCAAAACTGAGAAAGAGTTACAGAGATTTCCTATAAACTCCTGCCCCGACCTGCACAGCCTACCCTACTATCAATATCCTCCACCAGAGTGGTGTATTTGTTATACTCGACGAACCTACAGTGACACATTATTATCACCCAGAGTCCTTAATTCACATTCGAGTTCACTTCTGGTGTTGTACATTCAACGGGTCTGGAAAAATGTCTACTGACGTAGATCTATCATTATGGTATATACAGAGTTTTTCACTGCCTTAAAAATCCTCTGCACTCTGCCTATTCAACCTTCGCTGCCCCCAATCCTTGCCAGCTACTGATATTTTCACTGTTTCTAGTTTGAGTAATTATAAATAAACCTGCTATTAACACCTATGTGAAGAATTTTTGAGGGCCTACACTTTCAAGTGCTTTGGGTAAATACTAAGGAGTGTAGTTGCTGGATTCTATGTTTAAAGCATGTTTAATTTTGTAAGAAACCGCCAAACTGTTTTCCAAAGTGACTGTACACTTTGCATTTCCACCAGCAATGAAGTAGAGTTCCAGTTGCTCCACCTTCTCACCAGCATTCACTGGTGTCAGTGTTTCAGATCTGGGGCATTTTAATAGGTGGATAGAGGTATTGCAGTGTTCTTCTAGTTTGTGTTTCTCTGATGAAATATGATGTGAAGGTTCTTTTCAGATGCTTATTTGCCATTTGTATATGTTCTATGGCGAAGTGTCTTTTAAGGTCCTTGGGCCATTTTTTCATTTTCTATTTGTATTACAGTAGTTTTTATCTGTTTCTTTTTAATTTAAGTTCAGGGGTACATGTGCAAGTTCGCTATATAGGTAAACTTGTAATATGATGGTTTGTTGTACAGATTATTTCATCGCCCAGGTATTAAGCCTAATACCCATTAGTCATTTTTCCTGACCTCTCTCCTCCCACCTTCCACCCTCTGATAGGCCCCAGTGTGTGTTACTGCCCCCTATGTGTCCATGCATTCTCATCATTTAGGTCCCACGTATAAGTGAGAAAATGCAGTATTTCATTTTCTGTTCCTGCGTTAGTTTGCTAAGGATAATGGCCTCCAGCTCCATCCATGTTCCTGCAAAGGACATAATCTTGTCTTTTTTGTGACCACATAGTATTCCATAGTGTATACGGACCACATTTTCTTTGTCTACTCTACCATTGATGGGTACCTAGGTTGATTTCATATCTCTGCTGCTGTGAATAGTGCTGCAATAAACATATGAATGTATGTGTATTTATGACAGAACGACTGATATTCCTTTGCATATACACCCAGTAATGAGAGTGCTGGGTCAAATGGTATTTTTGTTTTTAGGCCTTTGAGGAATCACCACACTGTCTTCCAAAATGGTTGACCATGTATAAGTGTTTCCTTTTCAATCTCACCAGCATCTGTTATTTTTTTACTTTTTAATAATAGTCATTCTGACTGGTGTTAGATGGTATGTCATTGTGGTTTTGATTTGCATTTCTCTAATGATCAGGGTTGCTGAGCTTTTTATCATATGACTTTTGGCCACATGTACATCTTCCTTAGAAAAGTGTCTGTTCATGTCCTTTGCCCACCTGCTAATGAGATCGTTTGCTTTTTCTTGTAAATTTCTTTAAGTTCCATATAGAAGCTAAATATTAGACCTTTGTCAGATGCATAGTTTACAAAAATTTTCTTCCATTCTGTAGGCTTTGGTCCATTTTTTAAACAGGTAGTTTTCTTATTGTTCAATTTTAATTCTTCATATATTATGAATAACAAAACTCTATCAGATATGTCATATGCAAATATTTTCTCCGAGTCTGTGGCTTGCCTTTTTGTGCTCTCAATGTTTCTTATTCTTTTAAAGAGTCTTTTTTTTAAAGAGAATGCTTCTAATATTTCCACATTTACAGTCATTGCTGTATATGACTTTATTTTATACTTTATTTTTTATAAGATACTTTCATTAAGTGAAGGAAGTTTCCCTACAGGCCTTTATGATAAATGTTTATATCACGAGTACATGTTGAAAAATATCAAATGATTTGGTTATATGTATTATGATGGTAATACTTCTCCTGTTTTAATTCATTTATGTTAAAATCTATGTTATTTCTATGAAAAATACACAAATTGTGTTCCACAATTGCAGCCACCACCATAATATAAATATTAAATGTTTTCATAACTATTTAAAGAAATTTTCTCTGACCCTCTCCCCAGCCTCAGCCCCTGTTGATGTCAATCTGTTTTGTGTCTCTGTAACTTTGCCTTTTTTAGCTTTTCATATTATGGACTTGTCCAGTTTTTACACTTTTGAGGGAAACTTTTCACTTAGAGTAATGCCTTTGAGCTTCAGCTGTTGTTGAACTATCAAGAGCCATTTCTTTTACATTGCTGAGTAATATTCCCTTGGATGGACAGACTTCTTTTTTTTTGGGGGGGGTCCACACAACAGTTGATAGATGACTTTGTTGTTTCCAGTTTTTTGGCAGTTTTATGAAGTTGTTATGCACATTGGCAAATAGGAATTTGAGTGAGCATTAAGTTTTCATTTCTCAGGCGTAAAGACAGAATTGGCATGGCTGGGTCATGAAGTGGGTGCATGTTTAATTCTAATGCTATGAGGCTGCATTCCTCTGTGGCTGAGCCATTTTACATTCCAACCAGCAATCTATTCCCGTGTATTGTGTATAAATTTGTTTTTAGACACTATATTTTTGCCTTAAAAGTTATAGTAAACTTGTGTGTCCACATTTTAAACATTCCATGTATAGTTATTTTATCTTTTATATTGAGTGATTTTAATATCTGAATTCCTCAGGATTCTATTTTTGTTATTTGTGTTTTTTTCTCATTCTTACTTTTGGTCACTTATTTCTTTGAAGGTTTGGTACTGTTATTATACTTTTAAAAATTGGAGGTTCATTTTTTTTATTATCTGAGAATTGCAAAGGCCTGCATTGGGGCTGTTTTCTTCCACAGAGCATCTCCATTTGCCAGTAATGCTGGTTTGTACCCATGACTTTAGGACACACTCCCCGAGTGTTAACTTCACAGGTGGTTTGTGTTTCTGCTTCACCTCCACAGATACCCTGAGCTTAGTCCACACATCTCAGTGAGCTGTTCTCTGTTTCCTGCAGGGAAGTGGCACCCTGCCCATCACCTTCAGCGCAGGCTGCTGCTGCAGACACCTGTTCTCCTTCCTTCTTCCTCTTCCTCTTTCTCCCTTCTCTTCTTCCTTCTTCTCTTAGTTCTACTTCTGCTCTCCTTCCTCCCATTCTCCCTTTCTTCTCCCTCATGATTCTTATCTGGCTGGCCCTTTGAGCTTCCCTATGACTCCATAACCACAGTTCCACTGGCATATAGTTGAGTATTCCTTTCTATCACAAAACTTGTATGAAAATATTAAAAACAACTTTATTCAAAATAGACAAAAACTTTAAATACTCTAAGTGTTCATTGGAAGTAGAATGGGAAAACTGATGATAGCATGTTCATAAGTTGAAACTCTGCATAGCAATGAAAAATAGTAGATTATTGACACACGGATCTCAGACACAACGCTGAGTGGCAGAGGTTAGATGCAAAAACAGTATTTGTTAGACCATTTATAGGAATTTTCACAAAAGGTGAAACTAATAATGATGATAGTGCTAAGAATACTTGTTATTCTTGGGAGCTACTAATTGAGAATAGGCAATAAGAACCCTTCAATGTTATTGGAAGTATTCTCTATCTTGATCTGATAGGTGGTTACACAGATATAGAAATACATTAAAATTAATCAAGCTGTTTATTTAAGATTCGTGTAATTTTCTCATGTAGATTATACCTTAATTTAAAAAAAACTACAATCAAACAAAATAACTTACACCACATGGGCATGTTTATAGAATGTCAACTGTTTAAGAAGGCTAAAGAAAAAAATTAAAGTGCAAATATACTTATTTGCGAAGAAATATTTAGTTGAAATATCCAATGATAAAATTTTGAACTTCACGATTTGCATTGTTTGAATGTGAGTCATGTCATGTATCTATTTTATTCTTTCACATTTGAGAATCTTTTAAAGTAGATTAGTTGTGACTAGTGAAGGAACACACAAATATTCTCATTGGATTGAGAAATTTGGAAAGTCTCCTTTAATTGAAAATTTTAGGCTTTTAGCCTTATGGATGCTCATGATAAGTCCTGATTGCACATGTTCACTTAGTTTTCTTCAAATGGTTTAGACACTGAGTGAGAAGAATTGTTAAACCAGGAAGAGTTAATCAGACTACCATCTGTTTGGGGCTGTAGAATAGGAGGCACACTTTTCATCCAACTTTCATGAGGAAACTTTCACATTTTGATATGCCGCTTACACGGGAACCACTTTTATGTTTTAAAGAGCACTACTGCTTAACTAAATCCGAGAATATATTTTGAAAATTATTAATAAAATACACATACATACAATGAAAAGAGGTAAAATTTGAAAAGAAGTCTATAATCAATTATCATAAAGCAGTATGATCAGTTTGTTAATTAGTAAGCAACCAAATGCATAGATCACTCTGTATAGATCTCTAATACAAGTTACCGATAGGTAATGGAAATATAATTAATAACTAACAGAAGCAGCACAATCTATCTTAAGTTGACAGGTCAACAGGACTGACAGAGCTTGATTTGCTACAATTTGTTTTTTGTTTCCCTTCACAGGTTTTTTTAATGTCATTTTTGAAACTATACAGACAAATCTCTTTTCCTATTTACTCCTGTGTCTTCTAAATACCAATCCCTCCTCACATATGTTTCCTGGGAATCAAATAATCCTTTTCTGAGTCTAATAGGTAACATTTCATGTGAAAAATGGGGTACATTTCACAAATATCCTTTCCTGTGTTACAAATTCGTTTTGCTTTCTTTTTAGGGTTCAATACAAATAATGAACATTGCTTGAAATGATTTTATTAAAGTGTGAACTGAGCTTATTTGCAATCCTATGCAAACACTGTCAAAACTGAATAACAAAGATGAAACAAAAACTTTAGAAAGTCTTTCAAAACAAAACCAACTAATAAGATTTTTAATGTAAAAGGAAATGGACATTACCAATGTGTCAAAATTCTAGGATAAGAAGGCCCAATCACTAATCATTGCCCATTTGATTCACTCATTTTTCCTAGTAGTTGTTACTACTTCTGTCTTTTTTTAAAATGAAGAAAACATTAAAGTAATATTACTTCTGTTGAAACTTGGTATCTATAGCTTATACCTTGTGATGTTAATTAAAAACATAATTTTTATGTACTTATCACAAAGGAAATATCATTTCATTAAAATCCAATTAGATTCAGACAATATCTGTAAAGACTATGAAATCACTGCTGTTTGAACATAGGCAGCTTTGTTCTGTTTTCATTACTTGAATAAAAGCAACCACAACAAACAATCAAAGAAAAAAAATTATTAATCTCTGAGGTTACAGACACACTTGCATTTTGAATAGTATTTTGTTAGGGAGGAAAAAACATGGAAGATTTTATGTTGCATAGACTACAATTTAGTTGACCTCATTTCTAATTATTCTTATTTGTCTCTCTCCAGGAAAAATAACCTTCAGTGTATATATAATGAGACCTAGTAAAGAAGTTGTATATTAGGGCCATTTTAAGATAAACACAAAAGTGTGAGGCGACATGTTCATTAAAAAATAATAAAATAAAAAACATAAAGAAAGTCTTGTGGTGGTTGTGAATTTTTACTTCACTATAGCTAGAGAGCAAATAGAGAGACACACAAAGGTTCAAAGCAAGAGACGCTGACCGTTTGTTTGGGAGATGAAAACTCACCGTCCTGGAACAATCCCGGTTTAGCTCACGGCACTTGGGGAAGCTGGATGGAGGGGTTGCAATGAGTTTTTGTGACAGGCGTAGCACCGAGCTGGCCACACGTTAGGAATTTAATGAGTACCCCTTTCACCGAAAGACATGTTGGAAACAAGGAGTAAACAGTAATTTTTTTTTTTTTTTTTGAGACAGAGTCTTGCTCTGTCACTCAGGCTGGAATGCAGTGACAGGATCACCGTAGCCTTGACTTCCTGGGTTCAGGGGATCCTCCCAACTCAGCCTCCAGAGTAACTGGGACTATAGGCACGCACCACTATGCCTGGTTAGTTTTTGTCTTTTTTGTAGAGATGGATCCTGCCATGTTACCCAGGCTGGTCCTGCAAATATTTTTGAGTGCAAAATACTTGAATGCAGCAGAATCCAAAGAGCTGTGTCCAGCTCAGAGTGGTTGGGATTTAGCACAGCTTAATACTGATCAGCTGTGTTGTATGACACAAGCAAACTAAATGCTTGTAACTCTACTTTCTTCATCTGTAAAATCCTGATAACTATAGACCTGTTTCAAAGAGGATTTGAGCATTAAATGAGTCTAAATACGAAAAGTACCTAGAACATTGGCACCTAACACTCAATAAATTACTTATTAACAGGAAATAAGACAAAGTAATTACCCCACGTTATTTTATGTGATTTTAAACAAAGCATATCAATAACTAGAACAGCTTTGGATTTTGTTTGCTTGAATTATTAAAATAAATAATTTAATGAAACTAAAATTTTGCCGAATATTTCATATGAAAATTACAGTTTTCTGAAACATGTGCTGTGTATACACTGTTTCATTAATCTTAGGATGAAAGATGGTGCATCACACACGGTGGATACTCAATATATTTGGGGAATGGATGAATGGAGAAATGCTCAAATAAATGGAAAGCAGTGCAAAAATTTCCTTCCATTATGTCAGTGAAACAGGTTCAGCATCAAAAATATGACTTTTCTGTTAAAAACTCTAGCCTAAAAGAAAACTAACTCTCAATCTTATACTGACAAATGATTATGATATATTTTAATTTGACTTTGTAATGAATCAGCTTCCTTTTTTTTTTTTTTGCATTTATTTTAAGTAATGACCAATTCTGAGCCAAAGGTTATTTTGGCCAGAATTTTAATAAAATGAAATTCCATTGTATAGCAGATTTTTAAAGACTGAATTATAAATCAGAATTAAAAATATATTTAAATGTCTTGATATCTGTTGTGTTTTTTTTTTTTTTTTTTGAGATGGAGTCTCGTTCTGTCACTCAGGCTGGAGTGCAATAGCACGGTCTCAGCTCACTGCAACCTCTGCCTCCTGGGTTCAAGCGATTGTCCTGCCTCAGCTTCCCGAGTAGCTGGGATTACAGGCATGTGCGAACATGCCTGGCTAATTTTTGTATTTTTAGTAGAGACATGGTTTCACCATGTTGGCCAGGCTGCTCCTGAACTCCTGACCTCAGGTGATCCACCCTCCTCGGCCTCCCAGTGGTTATAGGCGTGAGCCACCGCACCCGGCCAAATGTCTTAATTTCTTTAAGTCCCAATGGTTATTGTGGCCACGCACCCCCATTGTTTCAGTACTTATCACTTGCATCATGATCATGCTCACAGAGCTATTTCTTCTAGGAGGCTGTGAACGTCTTGAGATACTGTTGGTTTTTTTTTGTGGAAGTTTTGTTTGTATTTTGAGTTTTAGTATTTATAATTTTATTTTTTATAGCATTTATATAGACCTCAATAATTTTTTACTGTATGGAATAGAAGGTAACAAAATTTGGTAACATTGCCCACATTCCCTAGTGTTACTTAATCCCTCCTCCCTTTTTTGGCACTTACATATCACTGAGAAACAGAGCATAACTGTGTTCAGTAGGAATTAAGAGCAGAGAAGCCCCGTTGAATGGTGTATCAGTAGAAATGAAAAGTGTGGGATGGGTATGAACAATGAAAACTTGCTTTCCTTCCTTGTAAGTTGCAGACATTCACCACCTAAGGTAACATGTCTGGGGATGAAATGAACTGCCTCACACATTAGAGTCCTTATCTGTTTCATACTTTCATCCCTAGCCATTCCAACTGGCTTACCAGTCAGTACCTAAACCCATTTCTGCTTGCTTTGACTAGACTACTTTCTCTACTTTTAATGTTATCTTGGGTCTTCTTGACTGTTTTATAGTCTTTCTGTTCTTCTAAACACATCTTAGATACTTCTTCATGGAATTAGGCACGACTTCAGCAGAAAGCAAGAGCACCACCTTTGAATAAAATACTTGATTTTTTAAAACAAATTAGACATTCCACTCAACAAACTTGAACTTATTTGTATTTGGAGCTTTTTATTCCACTCTCAACTGTAAAATCTGAGGGCAGAGACTGCGTCTGTTGTACACAGTGACATGCACAGGTGAATGAATCAATTTATTGGCCATATAAAATAAGGAAAACTATTTGCAAACTTGACATAACTTACCCATGTTTCCCAAATAAATAAATTATCTCAGCTTTTCAGTTTCTTAAAGTCCGTGTAGAATTAGTAAACTGTTGAAAATCTGTAAATGGATTTAAATTGTATGCGATCTCATACTTTATCTTGCTCAACTGCCTAAATTTTCATAAAGAAATGCAAACTATGATTTAAGCGATTAACTCAATGTCATGTGGATGACATTGCAAGTTAAATATATGTAGAAAAAGAATAATAACGAACAAACTTGGACCCACTTATAGGACACTTCTAGATTCCTGGGAAACTAAAACATATAGTTACCAACTATGAGAAAGATCATGCAGAAAGAGGACAGCAACAAAATGAGTACACATCAGAAGTCAGACATTAACGCTGACAAAAAAGGATTCCAGGAGGAAGGAACCCAAAGGATGAATCAAGGAGTCAAAGAGGAGAAGAACAGGATGAAACAGAAAAGCCATTTTTTACTATTTAGTAGGAATGGCAAGAGAAGAACTAAGGTGAAACACACAACCCATTTTTTACTTTTTTGTTTTTCTTCTGAGACAGGGTCTCGCTCTGTTGCCCAGGCTGTAGTGCAATGTTGTGATCTCAGCTCACTGCAACCTCTGTCTCTTGAGTTCAAGTGATTCTTGTCCCTCAGCCTCCCAAGTAGCTGGTATTACAGGTGTGTGCCACTGTGCCTGGCTAATTTATTTTATTTTATTTTATTTTATTAGTAGAGATGGGGTTTTGCCATATTGGCCAGGCTGAACTTGAACTCCTGACCTCAAGTGATCCGCCCACTTTGGCCTCCCAAAGTGCTGGGATTACAGGCATGAACCACTACTCCCGGCGCCATTTTTTACTATTAAGTAGGAATGGAAATTAAGTAAGAGCCTGAACTATGAGAAGCTATTCTTTTTTATCCAGACAGATCATAGTCCAACACATTTTGACAGATTTTTCCCTACTGCCATAGCAATATTCATAGCAGATTAGCAATATAGAGTGGTTTTCAATAAAATGTCAACACTTCTCATTACGGTGTGTTTAACAATAAAATCTCACTCAAGGAAAATATTGTGACTTAGATCTCTAAGGTAAATATTATGAAATGAGAACTAATACTGGTTGTTGAATGAAAGTACATCAGCATTACATTTTTGCTCTGCTAGCAAGCTTCCTTAGTACTACATTTAACCATTAATTTTCATTCTACAGAATTGATGTGTAACTGAGTTTTCATAGTGTTGTTACATGGTAATTTGGCTACAATGACATCATTTTTTGATATCACTGTAAAAATTGAGAAATTGCTATAATGAGATGATAATAATGAATTTCTAGAAATTTATTCTGGTTAAAATTCTCCTTTGAGTATGGAAAGAGGAAAGAATTTTGTTTTGGAAGAATAGGTACGTATGAATAATTTGAATTTTTACAAGTGTATAACATGACACATGGCTAAATCAGAACTGATGTGATTACAATTCAGGGTTTCTTTCTATGCTTAAATTAATCAAAATAATTCTGAAAAATGTCACTAAAATAATAACATGGTAAACGATACAAATTACATATTATAAATTACATTCTCTGAGAAATAAATGATGTAGCTTAAAAATAGCAATTACAGTGGATAAAATTTAAATAACAGCAAGACCTTTAATATTGTCTTACAGGGCCAGGTGTATTTACATAGTTTTTCTAGAGCATACCTATACCTAGGAATGAAGCTGTGGGTCACAGGATTTGTATGTGTTCCATTTACAGGAAACACTACCATTTTCAAAGTGATTTTATTATACTAAGGGGCTTTCCCTTCAGCTCTGTATTAAAATTGGTTTCTCCACATTTTTTCCAGTGAGTATTATCCAGTTTTGCAATTTTTGCCAAACTAGTTGTTGTAAAATATTATCTCAATTCATGTTTCATATGAATTAACTTGACTACTAAGAAGAATAAAGTCATTTATATATGTTTATTGGTTGCTAATGTTTTTATTCTGAAGTGACTTCTCTTGTGTCATCTATTTGGTACATGACATTTTTCTTATTGATTTGTAGGAGTTTAAAACATAAATAAATGTATATATATATGTTCTGATCACAAAAGTAATGAAACCTCTAAGTTTTACATTGCAGATGTAGTTTCTCAGTTTTTGTGTTGTTTTATGATTTTCTTCATAATTTGAAGATAGCATTTTTTTTTTGCTTTTAATGTGGTTGACTTATTCAGAAATGTTCTCTTTTTGAATTTTTTTTTTTTAATAGAGATGGGGTTTTGCCATGTTGGTCAGGATGGTCTTGAAATCCTAGCCTCAAGTGATTCACCCATCTCAGCCTCCCAAAATGCTGGGATTATAGGCATGAGCCACCATGCCCACCTGAGATGTTTCTTATTCTGATTTTGCCTTTTTGTGTCTTCTTGAAAATAATCCTCTTCTTGTCACTATGAAGCTATTTATGTATTCTTCTAAAATTTACAAATTACCTTTTCACATTGCTTTACTATGTCTTAATTTTTTTCTATCAGATGAGGTAGGAATCTATTTTTATTTTACTTTTATTATATATATATAATATATATACGCACATGTATTTGTGTGTTTAATATATATAAAGAGAGAGAGCGCCCCCTAATTATCTTACCTCAATTGATTGAAAAGTTGATTCTTTTTCCACACAGTGAATTCTACTTCTCTCATATGTGATGTTTTCATGTATGTGTGACCTGTTTCCTATCCCCTATAATTTGCCCACTGAAGATGTCTCTCTTTTGGCTTCAACTTCATAAGGAGAAGGGCATTTTCTCTGTGACCTATAACTGTGCAGAGTCTTAGCTTTGCTGCCTGATTGCAGGCATTCAGACATCCAGCCATTCGAATAGTGCCCCCCTCAGCGTGTGTCCTCCAAGCAGCACTCTTTTCCATTGCTGGTTTACCACTATTGATTTTTGTACTCTTATGCTTTCTACAATCCTAGTTTTAAAAACAATGGTTTTTTTTTTGGAAAAATGTTAGGTTTTCTTGGAGGGTATTTTTCTTCCAAGAATGCAAAATTTTCAGAAGCATCCATTCATTCCTTAAATGCTGACTTTTTAAGTGTTAATTCTTGAGTTTCTATTTATGATATAATGATTGTAGCACATTAAACTAGAAGTCATATATTACTTGAAAAAATACTATGGTTTATCATTACATGAGAATAACATAAAATAACTAACATTAATTGCCAAAGAGTTTAGCTTATTCCTCGACGTAATTTGTTAGAATTCACTAAATGTTGGCTGCTATTACACATAAACATATTATTTTTAATAACAGTAACTGGAAATTATTCCCTGGATAATAGAAGCCTTAAAAAATATCTCCCAAATTACATTTTATGAGCTTTGTAATAAGCATTAAGAAAACCATAAATAAATTAATATATAATTAATAAATAAGTGGATGGCTTTAGAATTTTCTTCAAATCATGTAAAATAAGCCTTTTTTTTTTCCATTCTAACAACATCTTATATGGACCAATCATAAATAAAATGTGTTGAAAGTTTAAACAAACACATAAATGTTCTTCTCATTGAAGCTCTCATAATGGACAATTTCTGTCACCTACTCCTGTCACCGGCTTCCTTACCACTTGTGTTATTCTAACCTCACAGTGATCTTTCAGATAGGCAAATCTGATCATGGCACTTATTCTTCATGTCTCAGCTCTGCAACTCCTGTTGCACCCATTTTCCAGACAAGCCAGTGAGTGACAGCAATGGAGTTGCACATAGAATTGTGCTAAGACTACGATTCTCAGGCTTCATCATGCATGAAAAACAATCCTCACGCTTGCCAAGAGTGTGGAATCTCATTTCTTCCCACCTTCCTACCATCTTTCTATCCTTTGCCATTTCTAGAATGGCACCTTTTCAATTGCCTTTGTGCTTCAATCCCTTTTGTTCTCTTACTCATCTGAGAGAGTTGTCTATGTTTCAGGTAAAAGGTCAACCATTTTATCATCTGGTCTAGGAGGTCTAATTGACTGCATTAGGCAGATTAAATCCTCTTTCATCTTTTCATATTGTATTTTATTCTTAATGTTTACTTGCCTGCCTCTGTCATGCATGAAAAAGTATTGATAACAAAATTCGTTTACAGATATTTTTATTACCAAGATAAACAAAATGTCAAGCATAGAGGATGCTCTTAATAAATATTTGTTGAATTAATTTTAGCACAGATATTAGCTAGATTCACCTTGCTGTGTTTCAGATCTAAATAATGTTGACATGTAATACCTTTGCCAAATTTTCTGCATATTCCCTGGTGTTTTAGAATCTCAAACTCTCTAATGTCTCTAAACTACTTACTGGGATACATTATTTTTTTCTCTCTTTTCAGTCTCGGGTGTGCAACATTTCCATTTTATCTATCAATTCTAACATGGAATCCCTGTCTTTCTTTAATTTATACACACATACACATACACACACACACACACACCAGGAAGGCCTTTGTGTGGATATCTGGCTTTGTTATCCAGATAACTATTTGGGAGAACACCAGAAGAATTATATTAAATGACCTTAACAACCAGAAAGTCTTATATAGCATTCCTATTACTACAGAAAAAAGTACCCACTGTAAATTTCTTATTGGTTATAATACTCACAGAGGGCTCTGGCTTCTGCCAATTTGTGGATCCCCTATCTTTTACCCTCTAATATCTTTTTCACTCCTTTCCTCTTGCATTGGACCAAGGAATCCTGAATTCTTAAGCTTATCAGCTGCTCTTAGTCCCTATGTTCCAACTCAGCTTATGCCTAGAACCTTCCCTAAGCTTATTCTTTATAATGAAAATAAAACATATTTGCTTTTATACTTATACTCCTGACACTATTCTAAGCATAATAGCATGCACACTTTACCTATTGCTTATACAAATCTTCTAAAGTGTCCTCTTACATTCCAATTTTACAGAAAATAAATCATGTGGCCTGCTTAAGGTCACAGAGCCAGAAGTGGCAGACCCCAGGCTTGAGACACACTCCGTTCCCTAATAGACTCTACTCTCCTTTGTAACTGTGTCATCAGGGTGGGTGATGTTACTGGAGCCCGTCATGTAACTTCCTGTCTCTGAGATGGTGGGATTCTGATAGCCAGACTGTTGGTGCCCACAAAGATGATACCAAATCATCAGCCCCTGGGTGCTTATTTTCCCTGTGATGCCAAAAGTACTGCCAGGTTGTCATCTTACAACTGTAAATTATCATCCTACAGACACCTTGGCGCCATATTTTCTCCCCAGCCTTGGCCCTTTTAGGTAAAAGAGCTGCTAGTTGGTATCTTTTTGGAATTCATAGCTGCTGGCCACGAAAGAGCATTTTCTGCCATCAATTCTTGTTTTCTGGAACTTGTGTAATGTCATGAGTCCTTATAACTTTGTCTACTGTGACAAGGATGTTTTTAAAGGATAGCTTTGAAGTATTGTGTAACTTACAAGCTTAGTGCAAAGATTCACTGCCATTTCTCTGATATTCTATGTTTAATTTGAGACTTTTAATACAGTCTAAACAATAGCTCAGGCTTATGAGCCAAATTTTGGCCATAATCTAGGTCTGGCTTTGTCTAAGTGTAGGCCTATCCTTGACACTGTAATTCCACATTCTACTGTACTATCATTTTATTCTTTTTGGGTCTTAGTATCTACCTCTCTTATACTTCTGGTTCTGCAGAATCCAGATTAGCATATCAGTTTGCTTTACATTTATTTTAAAATATAGCTCTCTGGATTCTTTTCCTCCTTTTTTTCTTTTTTTTTGTTTTTGTTTTTGAGACGGAGTCTCACTCTGTCCCCCAGGCCCCCAGGCTGGAGTGCAGTGGCGCGATCTCGGCTCACTGCAAGCTCCTCCTCCCGGGTTCACGCCATTCTCCTGCCTCAGCCTCCCGAGTAGCTGCGACTACAGGCGCCCGCCACCATGCCTGGCTAATTTTTTGTATTTTTAGTAGAGACGGGCTTTCACCACGTTAACCAGGATGGTCTCCATCTCCTGACCTTGTGATCCGCCTGCCTCGGCATCCCAAAGTGCTGGGATTACAGGAGTGAGCCACCGTGCCCGGCCTCTTTTCCTCTTCTTATATGCTCTACAACTGCACATTGCATTCATTTTATACATAAGTAAATATGACTTCCTTTGGAAGGGTTAATATTTGAATTCGAAAATGTACTAAACCCATATTGAGCACTCACTCCTGGCAAAAGTAGACTTCAGCATACTTTCTGTTTTCAGAGAACAAATCAAAGCCTTAGTTCTCAGCTTCAGAATCTACATTGTTCCCTGAGGCTTAGTCTGGTGAAAGTTACCTTAAAATGTCATGTTTTCCTCCAGTGACTAGAAGAAATAAAAGGCCTCAAGAAAACATTTGACTGAAAGTTAATCACAGGGACATTAACTGAGCAAGAATAGAATTCAGAAGCAAAGTGACTTAGTAGAACAACAGGCTGGTTGGGCATGGGATGCCAAGGAGAAATGGAGCTCTGGGAAAGACCTAGTGTAGTTTAGCCGTGAGGAGAATCAACAGATCCATCACTCAGCAAATTGCCCAAGCCAAAAACTCAGGTCTGCTTATCAAATAAAAACCATTATTTATAATTATACATGACATTAAAAAGAATCACAGAAAAGGAAGAGCGATTTAATCATCTGTAAGAAATATATTTGCCTGTAGATTCTTTTTGGAAGAAAAGAGAAAATTGATAGTACAAATGAGTGGAGAGATAGTAATTGCACCTAGTGAGAAAACCTACGCTACAGATAACCAAGAACTCACTCAGGGGCTGAAGCCAGATGACCTGGGCTCAAATGGGGCTTCACCATTTATTAGCTGTTTTAACCTTAGACAAGTCACCTCACTTCCTGAATCTCAGTTTTGTCATGTGAAACTGGGATAACCGTAAGTCCTACTTTGTAAGCTTATCATAATTAAACAAATTATAATTATGGAGCACATTAGAGCAATGGCTGGCGTTTTCATCAAAATCAAAGGTAGAAAAACGCAACACATTTCAAAAGCAGCCACATGTAGTTTATGGAAGCTTTGGGTTGATGGGTGCATGCAGCAAACCACCATGGCACTTGTACACCTATGTGACAAACCTGCACATTCTGCACATGTATCCCAGAACTCAAAGTAAAATTAAACAAACAAACAAACAAACAAACAATGCCACTTGGATCCTCGAGGACTGCTAAGAGAGGAGAAAGGGGATAATATAATGTTAACAATAAATGGAGCCTCTTGAAAATTAGGCAGATGTGGTTAATGCTGATGCTCTGGTCTGAAGGTTTGTGTATCTCCAAAGTTCATAGATCGAAGCCTACTCACCAAGTGATGATGTAAGTAGATCATAAAAGAACGAATGGTATTAGTATCATTATAGAAGACACCCCTAGAGTTGCCTTGTCTCCTTCCGCTGTGAGGATTCAGTGAGAAGAGAAAATGCCCTCTACAACCCAGGATACAAGCCCTCTCCAGACACTGAATCTTCCAGTGCCTTAATTTGGATTTCCAGCCTCTGACTCTGTGAGAAATAAGTGTCTGTTGTTTATAAGCTGCCCAGTCTGTGGTATTTTGTTACAACAGCCTGAACAGACTAAGACAGTTGCCTTAGAAAAGAAAAAGGATTAAGCCATATTATGTTTCCTCATTCTGCTTTCCTGAAAATCTCAGCTGGAAAGGAAATTTTACTGGATAATATTTAAAGTTGCACGTTTTAAAAGAAATTTTTAAAAATCCACTTATGTCTGAGACAGGACTGTGTATTTTCAAACAAAATACTTTTAAAGCTTAGCTTTTTTTCCCTTTCACCTATTAAAGCAAACTCTTTTAAAGTATAGTATTTTAAGATAACATTTTACATAATAAATCCTGAACTGCACCATTAAGGTTCTGTATGCTAAATAATTCTAAGCTTTCGTTACTCACACCAATCAGAGATAGAATAGTAGGTACCCAACCCTATTTCTCTAACAGTGGGGGAGAAGCAATTGAAACATCAGTGATGTCCTTTATCACTTACAAGATGAACTTTCATTGTTTCCAGATTTCACATTATTTTCAATTTTATATAAGCAAGAGTCTAAAACAAGGTTAAATCTAAATCAAGTGAGTCAGATAATAATCTAAATTTTTTCAAACAAAGCCCAAACATATCTAGCTATGTGTATAACACTTTGTTTAAAAGAGGCTGATTATTATAATATTGGCAGCTTTTACTCTTCCCATTTTTCACAGAAGGTAGAGAAGATGTATGAATTCATAAATGTGGATGCACACGTAATTCCAGGGAGATAGAAAAGGAAATGATGTGTTGGCTTTTCTAGCATTAAACAATTAAAATTAAATACATGCAGTGAAATATGCTTTTTCCCCTTATGACAATATCATACCCTCCAGAATAGTACAAACATAGGGTACAGTTAAAGTGATGATAGCAGATTGTACAATTAGATAGGAGAGCAGTTATTGTCTTGGATAGTTATAAGAATTACAAACATTTTTGTTGACAAAAATCCTGATAAATATAAAAATGGAGAATAACACAGTTTTCATGTACATAATGTGGAATCCCCATGATAGCTATTCGTGAACTGAAGCCTCACTACTTGCCATATTTAGGAGTTTTATGAGTCCCACATTTCCTTTAGAAATTGAATGTAATTCCGAGGAAGTGGTAATAATTTCAGCCCTTAAAAACTAAATGTTTAGTTAATACAAAAACAAAGAATAATTAAGAAAAGAGAATAATAGTAAATATCAGGCATGTATGTGTATATGTATATACATGCATGTCAGAGAGATGTTCATATATACATATTTGACACAGGGTGTATGATAAAATCAGCTCTTCTTCCCTTATTTTCTAGGTAAACAAAATGAAATTCTCAGAGGCTAAGTACTAACAAGACACTTGGCATGGGACAAGTGTTTGAAATATGTCAAAAGATCAGGGCTGCAAAATTTTAGTTGAGCGATACCTAAAAAATAATTAACTGGACTTTCTTTCACACCTACAGACTCCCAGATGAATAATGGGTGTTGGACCTAGAATGACCCTTAAGGTAACTTTATAACTTTCCCAAGCAAACTGAGATCAGGAGAGACTAAATAATTTCCAAGGTGAAAGTAGGATGAGAATTCCATATCTTCTGATGCCATGCCTTTGTTACATGAGAACTTATGCCTAGCACCATGGCTGACAAAACAGATATCATAATACTTCCACTTAATGAGGCAAAGAGAGAATCACACACATATCAAGGTTGATGGACTCTGTGAAGTTTGAATCTGATGAATGATTTTATTCTAATATTTTAAAAATTCCAGATATATATCATCTTAAATATTTTCAAACACATATTTCTCAAACCAAGAGCCCATTCTGGAGGGGTCAACATTCTACAATAAAATGAATAACCAAACAGGCTGCCGGCTCTCATTCTCTCCAGAATTATTTAAGAGGTAATCAATGTAACTAGTTAAGAGAAAATTTAACTCCCTTCTCAAAAGTAGGGGCTTTCAACAAATTTATTGAAACAAGTAGCAAAATATCTGAACATAAAGAGGTTTATCTATCTTTCTTATGTCTTATAAGGTGAAATCCAGACACATCTAAGAAAGTATTATTAAAAATCATAGAATTACTAGGTTACAATGTAGAAGAATATCTGTAGTCATTGAATGACTTTCTAGACATGAAGAAAAAATTGTCAGCTGGAAAAAAATGGAAACATTAAAAATTTTTAGCAGGGGTAAAGATGGTGGACTAGAAGCAGCTTGATTGCACTGCTCCCACAGCAAGGAGACAAAGTGGCAAGTGAACACTGACTCTGCAAGCTGATCTAAGAAACTACAACAAGATTCATTATGGAAGGGAAGGGCCATGGAGAACAGAAAAGAGCACAGCTGAACAGCTGCCCATCAGGGAGCTACATGGAGCCAGCAGAAGCTCCCCAACATGGAGAAAGAGTGAGCGAGTGAGAGCCCCTGGGGATCCACACTTCCCACGGGGACTAGTGCAAGCCTGGGAATGGGAGAGTCCCCTCATCCCCCTAAGTCTCTAGACTAATAGAGAAAACCACTTGGAGTTCTTCCAGAAGCAACAGTGAAGCTCACAGGGACCCCCACAGGCCTTGGATCTCAGAGCAGCCTAGCAACAGTGGCCATATCCATGATGGAGGCTGCAGTCCCTATGCCTGGGAGCAATAAGATTGTTTCACTGCCCTCCCCCAGCTTCCAGCACACTGGCCCTGCCTCTCCCTAAATTCTGTGGGGGGACACAGCTCTCTGTGTTCCCCTAGGAAACACCTGGGTGGCTGACAGGGTGACTCCGCCCACCCACACTGCTTCTACCTAGGTTCACATGCTGGCTGGCTCTTCCAACACAACTGGATCCACTTCTGCCTGCACACTGTGGGTGGATGCAGCTCCATGCACCCCTGGGGAAGTATGTGGACAGCAGATCAGGCAAGTCCACTCAACCCTGCTGCTCATTGCAGGGTGGAACATGTAAGCTGGGGTTTCCAGCACAGTAAACCTACCTCAGCCTGAACTCTGCAGGTGGGTGCAGCTCCACGTTCCTCCAGGAAGCACTCAGAGGGTGGATGAGGTGACCCCACCAACCTCTGCTGTTTCTATCTGAGTGGGACACACCAGCTGGGCAGAGCTCCAGGGACTTGCTTCTGTCTGAATTCTGTGGGCAGGTGTAGCTCCATATTCCTTCAGGAAGCACCCAGGTGGTGGAACAGGCGATTCCACCCACTCCCACTCCTCCTAGGTGGGTAAGACTCACCTGCTTAGGAGGCACTCAAGCAGGGAATTCCCCACTGTCAGAACACTGAGAGGGGTGTGACACCTGGGCTCGTAGGCCAGAGGGAGAGCAGGAAGTGCCTCCCTCCACAGAGGTAGTCTGGAAGGGCATGACCTGTCTGCCAACCTGGCCTCGGCCTGAGGGAGCCCTGTGGTCCAGAACATGTAACAAAGAAAATACAAGTGCAGTGCCAGTGATTGCAGGGGCCTCCTCCAAGGCCCAGGAGTAGACCAGGTGAAGGAGTCATCTCTCTCCCCCAACCACAGAGCACTGCTGCCAATATGCCAAAAAATACAAAAAAAAAAAAAAAAACCCATGAAACTAACAGCCTGTGGGCACCACTCTTTGGTACCACCTACTGGATCACAGCCCAAATTATACCACCAAAATATTTTGCTAGTGTACAGTGCTTATGAAAAGTAAGCAACAATCTAGCCACAGATAAAGGGCCTTGGCCTTCTGAAAGTGCCAAGAAGGAAAGCCAACTCTCTATACTCAACTCACATCACATTTAAAGGAACACCAGCCTTCATACATGAGAAAGAATCAATGTAAGAACTCTATCAATTCAAAAAGTTGTAGTGTCCACTTACCTTCAAACCAATAAAGCAATGGTTCTTAACCAGGTTGAAATGACTGAAATGACAGACACAGAATTAAGAGTCTTGATAGCAAAGAGGCTCATCAAGTTCCAGTAGGAAGTTGAAACTCAATCTAAGGAATCCAGTAAAATGATCCAGGAGCTGAAAGACAAAATAACCATTTTAAGAAAGAACCAAACTGAACTTCTGGAATCGAGGAATTTCATAATATAATCATAAGCATTAGCAATAGAATAGAAAATGATGAGAACAGAATGTCAGAGTTTAAAGACCAGTTCTTTGAGTCAACTAAGTCAGACAAAAATAAAGAATTTACAATTTCAAATTCTAGTTCCCCTTTCTTGGGGAATTTAAAAAATAAGCAAAACCTCTAAGAAATATGTGATTATATAAAATGACCAAATCTATGACTCATTGGCATTCCTGAAAGAGGAGAGAGAGTAAGCAACTTGGAAATAATATTTGAGGATATAGTCCTTGAGTATTACCCCAATCTTGGTAGCAAGGTGGTCATACAAATTAAATAAATACAGAAAACTCCTGAGAGATACTATACAAGATGACCATCCCCAAGGCACATAGCTATCAGATTTACCAAAGTCAACACAAAAGAAAAAAAATCTTAATGGCAGGTGGAAAGAAAGGTTAGACCACCTAAAAAGGGAACCCCAACAGGCTAGCAGTAGACCTCTCAGCAGAAATCTTACAAGCCAGAGGAGATTGGGGGCCTATTTTCAGCATTCTTAAAGAAAAGAAATTCCAACCAAGAATCTCATATCCTGCCAAACTAAGCTTCATAAGCAAATGAGAAATAAAATTTTTCTCAGGCAAGCAAGCACTAAGGGAATTCATTACCACCAGACCAGAATTAGAAGATGTCCTTATGGGAGTGTTAAACTTGGAAACAAAGGATTGAAACCTGCTACCACACAAACACACTCAAGCACATAGCCCACAGACAATATAAAGGAACTACACAATCAAGTCTACAAAATAAACAGCTAGCAACATAATGACAGAACCAAAATTTTGCATATCGATACTAACCCTGAATGTAAATGGCCTAAACACCGCACTTAAAAGGTACAGACTGGCAAGCTAGATAGAAAGACAAGACCCAATTGTCTGCTGTCTTCCAGAGATATACTGCTGTCTTCCAAAGATATACCTCACATATAATGACAGCCACAGGCTAAAAGTAAAGGGATAGAGAAAGATCTACCATGCAAATGGAAAACAAAAAAGAGAAGGAGTTACTATTCTTATATCAGATAAAATAGGCTTTAACCAACAAAAATCAGGGAAGACAAAGAAGGGCATGACATAATGATAAAGGGTTCAATTCAACAATAAGACTTAACCATCCTAAATATATACGCGCCGAACACTGTAGCACCCAGATTCATAAAAGAAGTTTTTCTTTACAAGAAACTTAGACAGCCACACAATAATAGTGGGAGATTTTAACACTTAACTGACTGTGTTAGAAAGATCATCAAGGCAGAAAACTAACCAAGAAATTCTGGAATTAAACTCAATACTTGATGAATTGGACCTGATAGACATCTACTGAATACCCAATAAACACAGAATATACATTATTCTGATCTGCACACAGAACATAGTCTAAGATCAACCACATTCTTGGTCATAAAACAAGTCTCGATAAAATTAAAAAAAAATCAAAGTCATATCAATCACACTGTAGGACCACAGTGCAATAAAAATAGAAATCAATACCAAGATGTCTCGAAACTACATGAAAATATGGAAATTAAGAAATTAAACAACTTCCTCCTGATTAGCTGTTGGGTAAACAATAAAATTAAGGCAGAAATTAAAAAAAAAAATCTGTGAAATTAATAAAAATAGAGACACAACTTACCCAGATCTCTGAGATGCAGCTAAATGTGTTAAGAGGGAAGTTTATAGTGAGTGCTAAATGTCTTCAACAAGAGGCTAGGAAGATCTTAAATGAATGATCTAACATGACACTTAGAGGAACTAAGAGAAAAGAACAATTCAACCCCAACGATAGCAGAAGAAAGTAAATAACTAAAATCAGAGAAGAACTGAACAAAATGGAGACCCAAAAGTCTATACCAAAGATGATTAAACCAAGAGTTGTCTTCAAAAGAATAAACAAGATTGATAAATCACTAGCTAGATTAACAAGGGAAAAAAAAGATCCAAATAAGCCAAATAAGTGCAATCAGAGATGGCAAAGATTACAAGTTATCCGATAGAAATGCAAAAGATCCTCGGAGAGTATTGTAAATAGCTCTACAGACACAAATTAGAAAATCTGGAGGAAAAGGATAAATTCCTAGAAATACACAACCTTCCAAGATTGAACCAGGAAGAAGGTGAAAACCTGAACAAACCAATAACGTGTTCCAAAATTGAATCAACAATAAAAAACCTACCAGTAAAAAATAGCCTACGTGGATTCACAGCTGAATTACATCTTATGTACAAGAAGAGCTGGTACCAATTCTTTTGAAATTATGCCTTAAAAATGAGGGGGAGGGGATCCTCCATAACTCATTCTACAAAGCCAGCATCATCCTGATACCAAAATCTGGCAGACACAATGAAAAAAGAAAAGTTCTAGCCAATATGCCTGATGAACATAGACCCAAGGATCCTCAACAAAATACTTGGAAACTGAATTCAGCAGCATATCAAAAAGTGAATTCACCATGATCAAATAGGCTTTTTTTCTTGGGATGCAAGGTTGGTTCAAGATAGACAAATCAATAAATGTTATTCACCACATGAATAGGATAAAAAACGAACACCGTATGATCATCTCAATGGAAAAAGAACACCATTTATAAAATCCAATGTTCTTCATGATAAAATCCCTCAACAGGCTGGGCATTAAAGGAACATACCTCAAAATAGTAAGAGGTATCTATGACAGACCCACAGCCAACATCATACTGAATGGGCAAAAGTTGAAGCCATTCCCCTTGAGAACTGGAAGAAGATAAGAATGCCTACTTTCACACTCCTATTCAGAATAGCAGTAGAAGTCCTAGCCAGAGCAATCAATCAAGAGAAAGAAGTAAAAGGTGTCAAATAGAAAAAGAAGTCAAAATATCTCTCTTTGGTGGCAATGTCATTCTATACATAGAAAACCCTAAAGACAGTGAAAAGGCTCCTGGAACTGATAAGTAACTTCAGTAAAGTTTCAGGATATGAGATCAATGTACAAAAATCAGTAACGTTTCAAACACCAATAACTTTCTAGCTGAGAACCAAATCAAGAACACAATCCCATTTACAGTAGACACACACACACACACACACACACAGATACACACAAAGAAATACATAGGAATTCATCCAACCAAGAGAGGTGAAAGATCTCCACAAGAATAACTCAGGAAATGTAGATGACACAAATAAATGGAAATACTTTATGGCCATAGATTGGAAGAACCAATATTGTTAAATCAGCCATATTGCCCAAAGCAGTTTACAGATTCAATGCTATCCCTATCAAGATATCAATGTTATTTTTCACAGAATTAGGAAAATTGATTCTAAAATTTATATGGAATCAAAAAAGAGGCCAAATAGCCAAAGCAACCCTAAGCAAAAAGAACAAAGCTGACATCACAGTACTCAACTTCAAACTATACTGTAAGGCTATGGCAACCAAAACAGCATGGTACTGGTATAGAAACATACATACAGATCAATGGAACCGAATAGAGAACCAAGAAATAAATCTATCCACTTACAATCATCTGATCCTTGACAAAATTGATAAAAATAAGTGATGGGGAAAGGACTCCCTATTCAGTAAATGGTGCTGGGGTAACTGGCCAGCCATATGCAGAGAATGAAACTAGACAATTACCTCTTACTACACATAAAAATTAACTCAAGATGGATTAAAAATTTAAATGTAAGAGCTCAAACTATAAAAATCCTAGAAAAAATTGTAGGAAATACCCTTCTCGACATTGGCTCTGGCAAAAGGTTATGGTTAAGTCCCCAAAAACAATTACAACAAAAACAAAAAATTGATAAGTGGGACCTAATTGAACTAAAGAGCTTCTGCACAGGAAAGGAAGTTACCAACAGGGTAAACAGACAGCCTACACAAAGGGAGAGAATATTCACAAAATATGCATTTGACAAAGACCTAATATCCAGAATCTACAAGGTACCTAAACAAATCAACAAGCACAAAACAAATAATCCATTTAAAAATGGGAAAAGGACATAACAGACACTTTTCAAAAGAAGATGTGCAAGTGGTCAAAAAACATGAAAAGAGTGCTCAACATCACTAATCATTAGAGAAATAAAAGTCAAACCACAATAAAATATGGTCTCCCACCATTCAGAATAGCTATTATTAAAAAGTAAAACAAAACAAAACAAAACAACAACAGCAACAACAAAAACAGATGTTGGTGAGGCTGCAGAGAAAAGGGAACGCTTACACAGTCTTGGTGTGAATGCAAAATACTTCAGACACTGTGGAAAGTAGTCTGGAGATTTCTTAAAGAACTTAAAACTACCATTTGACCCAATAATTTCACTACAGAGTATATACCTGGAGTTAAATAATTTATTCTGTCAAAAAGACGCATGCACTCATGTTTGTTGCAGCAGTATGTCCAATAGCAAAGGCACAGAATCAATATAGGTGCCCATGAACAGCGGATTGGATAAAGAAAATGTGATACATATACACCATGGAATACTACACAGCCATAAAGAAGAATGACATCATGTCCTTTGCAATGACATGAATGGAGCTGGAGAACATTATCCTAAGTGAATGATCATCAGAACAGAAAACCAAATACCACGTGTTCTTACTTATAAATGGGAGCTGGACATTGAATACGCATAGACATAAAGATGAGCGACAGACACTGAGGACTTCCTGATAGGGGAGGGAGGAGGGAAGGAGACATGGGTTGAAAAAACTTTGGATACTATGACCACTAAATGGTTGACGGGATCATTTGTACCTAAAACTCAACATAACATAATACACTCACGTAATAAACCCTCATCTAAGATTTGTAAGGTGATGTACCCCTTCTTCTAATTTAAAAGTTGTAATTATAAAAAAGCATAGTTTGCCACATGTTTTGTGTAAAGGCAAAAGATGATAAACCTAAAATGTACATACTAAAATAAAAAAGAATAATAAAAAGTTATTTAATGGCAAATACTACACAGAAAGCTGGAGACAAACAGCAAACTGGGAATCTGTATTACAGAAAAGGGTTTAATATCCTAAAAACCTAAAAAATTCTTCTAAAGAAATTAAAATTATGAATATTTCAGCAGAAGAAATAGCCTAAGTAAGGGGAATTTACAAATAACTACTAATAGAAAAATAAAGAAGAATAAGAAAATAAGTTCACCTTCACTAGTAACAAAAATCCAATCAAAACAAAAAGTGGTGTTATTTTGTTCTTTTATATGTTTCATCAACATGAAAAAGAAATGAAAAGCAGCTCTGCTGTATGAACCAGAGAAGCCAAAATGGTTCTTTCGAAAGAAAAACAAAAATGGTTCACAGAGAGGAGAAAATGGAAATGATGGTATATAAAATGCCTGTTTCCAGTCTTTCTTGAGTCCAGGCTTCAATCCTGCTTCTGGTTTCTATGAAATACTTCTAAATCCCTGCAACGGCTTCTCTTTCTATTTAAGCTGGTTTGAGTTGAGTTTCTGTCACATACAAACAAGAGGCACAGTAATAAGTAATAATAAAATGACCTGCTGCAGTATAGACAAAAAGAAAGGATAACCCAAAACGTAAAAATGATGTAAGTTCATAAACTTATGAAAAATTGATCAGAGCATCTACATAGGCTTGAGCAGTCTCATGTGACTTGCACAAGGACCTGGGTTAGAGACACAGCGAGAGGAATGGGGAGTAAGGTGGGATGGGATTTCTATACTGTTATTAATTAGTGAGTTTCTCCAAAGCGTGGTGTGGGTACCGGGCTCATTTTAAAGTGTTATAAATGATCTGGGGAGTGAGTTCACAGATACTGAAATGCCAGACAGTGAAATGCCAGCCGCAGAAATATTTCAAAAACCTGTGTCAGTGGGCAGAAAATTGGCATATGAACTTCCAAAAGGATAAATATGAGGAAATGCCTTTAAAAGAAAGTTGTTCCATCTACACATAAAGAGTGCAAATGACCTATGAATCATTCTCTGTAGACAGCCCAGCAGGCTTCACTAGGAAAGGTTTTAAAACCACCTCATGGAATTACCTTGGCATAAGTCCAAGATACACAAAGGTGGCTCTAAGTATCAAAAACACCTGAGAAAGATGGTCACAACTGCAGGTTGCTAGGTGCACCCAGCATCCTATTGCTAATAAATTGCTCCTTGAAGTTTTACTATAGTATTGATCTAGTATTCTGATGGCTGGCTAGATAAATTAACCTCAGGCAGAGTGCTTGTGGATAAAACTGAAAAATGTTGCATGTATGTGTTTAAAAATTTATTTCCCATATTTTCCTTAGTGCATATTATTGTTATTAGTGTACTTATTTCAACATAACCTGTAGATAAAAAGTCAGAACTGAAATGTCTTTCTCTAAAAAAAAAAAAATGTTGGAATTGGAAGCATGTGTATCTTGTATAATGTTTGCATGAATGAATTAAACACATGGTGGTGTGATCTGGTCAATTACTTGTTTCTTCTGATGTGGGGAGGGGATAGGTCTTTATCTTATGTAAAATGGTAATGAAGACTTTACATAACACTACTTTACCTCCTCTTATCCTCCAAAGCAGCTACAGTAAAATTCCAGTTTAAAACAGTGTTGAGTTTTGACTTTATTATGAATATGTAAGTATTTTCATCACTGAGCTGAGTAATATACAGTTATTACATTTCTTCTTTTTCCTGCAAATGTTTGCTTTTCCTATAATTA
This sequence comes from Homo sapiens, assembly GCF_000001405.40. Taxonomy (NCBI): domain Eukaryota; kingdom Metazoa; phylum Chordata; class Mammalia; order Primates; family Hominidae; genus Homo; species Homo sapiens. The sequence continues at coordinate 103,823,354 of NC_000002.12, read as the reverse complement.
ACAATGCCTAGATTTTCCATTTGCTTATATATTTTTACCGCATGGACATGAATTTGCACAAATTCTGCAACTCTGTAAAACTCTTCTCATTTATATTCAATGCAACATGTAATAATTCCTAGTTTTCCCATTCACCCTTTTTGAATTTTTGTTATTGCCTGCAAAACTTTTATTTACAGATTTCCATCCTTCTGCTCCGAATTTATCCAGTCTTTTTCTTGGTCTGCTGCCAAATATTGGAACTTACCTTTGCTTATATTCTGAAAAATCCTTTCTCCTCCCTGTTCTGTGAAATAAATCTCAGATTCTTCTATTTTTTCAGTTTACTTTGATGGAGGACATATTCCAGTTGTGTGTCAAGAAGGAATCTCCAGTTGTATGTATATTTTTGCAACTGTGTAATTTGAAAAGGGCTTTATTTTGCTCTCACAATTAACACTTTGGCTGGTGATAAAATTTTAGGTGAAATTCATTTTCCCTCAAAATTTTTGAGATACTTTGGTTGATTTTATTGCTTATTGTGTTGCTATTGAATTCATTCATTATGGTTTCTTCTCTTTTATATACAACATTTATTTTTGCTTTGAAAGCTTTTAGGATTTTTGCTTATTTCATAGGTTCTTAATTTTTACCATAAGTATGCCTTAGTAAAAATATTTTTCTTGCATTTTACTGGGTATTCAATGGGCACTTTAAATCCAGAAGCATGTGTACTGTAAAATATTATTTATTTAATTCCTTGCAAATCTTTTCCCTTTGGTATCTCTGGTCTCTCTGAAAATCCATCAGATTTTTTCTCATTTCTTAATGTGTTAGCTCCTATTATCCATCTTTAGTTTTTCTTTTGTTCTGCCTTCTGGAATATTTAATTAAATTGCTCTTCAAACTATTCTCTTGCTTTTAAAAATTCATCATATTTATTCCCATGAGCTCATTCCAAATTCCTGTCTTTCACCTCCTGTTCATATTTCATAGATGTAATATCTTCTCTTATTACTCTGAGAATATTGCAGTTTCAATATTGTAATCAGCCATTCTATATTTTTTTTTACTGATTTACAGTTATCTTTCTTTCTAAATTTTACTTACCTTATTTTTGGCCTTTCACTTTAGTGGTTTCCTATTTTTTTTTTTTTTTTTTTTTTTTTTTTTTTTGAGACGGAGTCTCGCTCTCTCCCCAGGCTGGAGTGCAGTGGCACGATCTATAAGCTCTGCCTCGCGGGTTCACACCATTCTCCTGCCTCAGCCTCCTGAGTAGCTGGGACTACAGGCGCCCACCATCATGCCCAGCTAATTTTTCGTATTTTTAGTAGAGACGGGATTTCACCATGTTAGCCAGGATGGTCTTGATCTCCTGACCTCGTTATCCGCCCGCCTCGGCCTCCCAAAGTGCTGGGATTACAGGCCTGAGCCACCACGCCCGGCCTTTAGTGGTTTTAAGACGCTTGGTCAGTTATTCAGGTTTGAAAATAAGGCATTAAAATGATTGGATACACTGTTTACATGATGGAGTGGTCTATTTGTGTTTCACTTATGGTGATTGGATGGGTATTTTTTGGAAGAACACACAACCTCGATATCTGCAGGACTTTTCTCTGGAGACATACAGACTTTGTGCAGGAGATTCCTCTAACCCTTGCATAGGAGAAGAGGGCGACTGAAACCAGTGTGTCAGGAGCTGAGTGGGGAAAGACTAGTGATCTGACTGATCAGGCATAGACTCACATCATCCCCTTTATTCCAGTCCTGTGTCTACACTGACCCCCTCCTGTTCTCAATAATACCCAAGTCCAGATGTTCTTCAATTGAATTTCCCCAAGGAATTAACTTCCCTCTCACAGGTTGTTGCTCAGCACCCTGGCTGAAGAAGGAGATCTCATATCTAAGCTACTTTATAATCGGATTTTCAGCCAATCCTCAGAAAAGTTTCTAAGATTCCTGATACCCAAGTTCTGGGTTTCTGCAGCATGAATTGGCTTCTTCTCATTAGAAACACTTCTGCAGGCTTTTAGTTTTCAACTTTCTCAATTTCCGTCATCTCTATATGTGTTCCTATTGTTGACATGTCTAAGACATTGCTGGCTTAAATCTTTTGTCTTTACTGCCTTTAATGCCATTGCAGCCATTTTATGGAATGAGAAGTGGTAAATGAATGTGTTCAATCCACCATGATTAGCTGGTGATGGTGAAATTTATGGTGGTTTAATGTGTCTTCTTGTGTTCCTTCAACAATTGGGTTTCAAAGCCTGAGCCTAGTGTTCCTCATGATTAGGTTACTGCGGATGTGAATCCCTGGTTGTAATCACTAGAAAATTTTGCAATAGATATTAGCTTTTCTAAACATCTGCTTTAATGGGTAAGCCTTGTATTAAAGTGAAAATGGAATGAAGATATGCATATGTTCGAAAGTATGGCTGGTAAACTAAAGCATTGTTTTTGTTTGCATGTGCAAACACACACATGGTCACTTTAATTTAGAAATGCCTGCTTAAAATATTTCTTCCACTTAAAATATTTACTTATTCTTGGATTATTTTACAAAGATAACAGTAGAATTCCATAGCTACTTAAAATATTTTACAAAGTTAAACTGTCAATAGGAAAAGCAGTGAATTTTCTTACATTCACACTAATTTGTACATATCTGTATTGGACCTAAGACTCTTTCATAAAAGCATGTTTTCATAAGAGATGAAGAAAGAGGGTCTGAAAAGATGGTAGTATGGGCTATGTCATCCTCTCCTTCTGAGAAGATAGGGACTTGGAATGAGGAAACTGGAAGGAATAAGGACGGGCTTGCCAGGAGGTTTTACCTGGTGGTATTGGGCTGGCTGGGTTGACAGGTAAAACTTCTGATGCAGATGTACATACAGCAAGGTCAGTGTGTAACTAGAGGCCCCAAGGCCACCATCACCTTGGCCAACACACCAAGGACCATCATGCTCAGTCCTGGATGCCCAGAAATCCTGCAAGGCAACGAGAAGTGCTTGGACTCCTGGGACCACCACACATATTTTGAATATATAGGAGAACAAAACATATAAACAAAATGCCAATTTTCTGATTATCATTGATACTCTATACTTAGTTACATTTGCCTGTTAGAATTCAGTCCTCTCCCAAAATTCTTGAGGATGGTACCTATTAAAACTTACATTTCTCTCTTTTCCTTTGTTTTAGGGATAAGGAATTTTGCTGTTAAGATTTTTCCAGAGATGTTCAAGTTCAAAGACGTTACACAATTAGAGGCATCACATCAATAGAGAGGAGCTGACCCTGGACCTCTCTCAGGTCTGATTTTCAGTGTGTCTTGGAAAATATCTTTTTTTACTCTTCTTTTCCCCCTAAAGTATTTTGTTTTCCAAGTTAAACAGTTTTAGTTCCCTCAATAATTCCTCATAAAACACACTTTTATAGATCTTTACTGATCTTATTAGGGAGGCAGTATTGTATATTGATTAAGAAGTTGGGATTTGACCATAATTTGGTTTCAATCTCAGCTTTATCACTTACTAGCTGTGTGACGTTGCACAAGTCGCTTAACTTCTCTGTTCTTTAGTTTCCTAATTCGAACGTGGTGATATTAATAGTACCGCCCTAAGAGGTCTCCTGTGAGAATAAAATGAATTTATAGGTGGCCAATTAAAATGCTCAGTAAATATTATTAGCTAGTTGTTTACCAGTTAGTTGCTCTCTTCAGAGTGTTCTTGACTTGTTAATATTCTCTACATTGAAGTATTAGTCCAGGTGTGAGTTGACCAATGTATATGATGGGAAATCCTTCTAAGAGGATATCAATTCATAAGCCAACGTTTACAACATTAAGTCTGCCAAATTCAAATCTAGCCTGGGGTACCAACCTTAGGTATTTTACTGTCCCTTCTTCCTCTCTCTCTCTCTCTCTCTCTCTCTCCCTTTTTTTCCTCTCTCTACATATGTGTGTGTGTGGGGGGGGTGTATGTGTGTGTGTGTAAAATATCATATATGTGATATAAAATCAATATGTAATATTTGTAAAACTGTCTTCACCAAATTTATATATGATGATCATTTTGTCCAATAAGAAACATAACCTGAAATTTAAAAATATTTATTCATTTATTTTGAGACAGATTCTCGCTCTGTCGCCCAGCCTGGAGTGCAGTGGCATGATCTCAACTCACTGCAACCTCCGCTGCCTGAGTTCAAGCAATTCTCTTGCCTCAGCCTCCCGAGTAGCTAGCTGGTATTACAGGTGTGCACCACCGTGTCTGGCTAATTTTTTTTTCTTTCTTTTTTTTTTTTTTTGTACAGCCAGGTTTTCATCATGTTGACCATGGTGGTCTCAAGCACTTGACCTCAGGTGATCTGCCCGCCTTGGCCTTCCAAAATGCTGGGATTACAGGCATCAGCCACCACACCCAGCCACATTTTTTTATTAAGAGTAAAGTAACATTGGCTTCAATTCTACTTTCCAACACCACGGTCTGTGCAGAAATCTTCTAGATTTCTGCAAATGTATAAGAAGCTTGCATCAACATAGCTTTCCTTATTTCCTGAGTATTTGATTCCTTCTTCCCTGGTGTCTTATTCCCGTTTAAACGCAGAATCTAGCCCTTTTAAGTACTACTGTATCTTCATGCAGATAAAAATTCCAGGAGTCTAGTAGGCTCTATTGGTCCTGCATGGGAAAGAGTGACATCCAGGTGTACAGGTAATTTTGAATGACACAATTAGCACCATCATTATAATTTTTATTACTTCTCCCTAGGGAGGTTTCACTGTTCCTACAATAAATTCTAGCCTCTTGCCATTTATTCTTCCTGGCTTTTTTCTCTGTCCTCTTGATTTTTCTTTCCTTTTCCCTTTTGAGAACAAAACCAACAAATGTATCTTTCTATAGCATGTACACCAGGCTATCCCTTTCCCCTCCTGCCCAGCACCTGCCAACACCCATACTGGGAGAGAGCCTACTGCACCCATGGATTCTTATTGAAAGAAGGAGTTCCCTCTGCCCCCACAGGCATTCTGGCTTCAGCCATTAAAATGTTAATGCTTTTAACCCTGAATAAAGGGGCATATTAACAATTGTAAGGCCTTTAGGTTTCTACGATGTATTTTTAAAGTAATGACTAATGAGGAAGAAACGTTAAGTATAAACTGATGACTGATTTGTCTTATCCTCTATCATATGGTATCTACCAAGTATGATGGAGGTTGAGATGTTCTGAAACCATATATGTCTAGGGACTCACTGACCTATCCTGACCCCTGAAAATTCTACTTCAAATCAAAAAGAACCTAAATTAGGACTTTTTCTCTCTGCTACAGAAAAAAGAACCCAGAAAAAATGGAATCTAGGGCAGTTTTATTTTGACGTAGAATCTTGAAATGGAAGTGCCTACCCTTGTCCCTAGGTTGGGGCGGGGCAGGTGGTGTTGGGAGTTGGTGTAACTGGAGGCTCTGAGTGGCCAAGAGACAGCAGAGAAGAGCGAGAGGGACTTATATTCCACCAAGAATCCTGCAAAAAGTGGAGCATGCTTTTAGGATAGACTGAAGAGCTAAAACAAATGGTACCTAGTTTTTATTTTTCCTTGGACTATTTCATATGTTTTCCACAATAATTTACAAATACAATTTCATCAATTTTTAAACAAATTGTACAGTAATAGCAAAATGATTTAAAAGAGTCTAACCTTAGAAATGGTGGCTTTTAGGGATTTTAACATACTTTGACTTTCTTTAACTACATCCTCTATTTTTTATATTAGCATCAAAGAAGACACTCTAAAAATCTATGAGATGACATCATGTGTTCTGGCAAAATCGTGGTTAAATACAGGTATACATATTAATATATTTTCTGAAAATATGTTATATTAACTACGATGGTTTTAAATAACTATTGTGGCTTAAATAAGTATTTGAAATAAAATGATATTGTACATTTTATTAAATAGGCCCTCTTGTGCTCAAGGTTTGTATTTAAGACACCTTTTAAATACTATAGATAACAATTTTTCATAATGTTTATTGTAAAATTTGGAACTATCCAAGCATCAGTGGAAAGCATAACAGAAAACATTTAATATTACATTAAATAATTTGGAGCACGTTGATTACTATTACTGAAATAAAAATATTAATGTACATATACATATTCTTTTGAAATCTGTTAAATATTAGATTTAATTTCATGTTTAATTTTAAATATAATTTCAGGCAGCTAATATTTGCTTGCTCATTCAAAGGGTTTAATCCTCCTTTTGGATTAATGGTCTGCAAAATGTCAGTTAAATGATATTATCACTTCATATTTAACTTCATACACAGCACAAAATAACCTCATCTAAGTCATGGAAATTCACTGGCTATTTTTTGAAGGTATCAAAAGTAGAAAAGAGTGGCGAAGAGATGCTCTGAAGAAGAATTACATAAATCCTTTTTCTTCCTGAGAGTCCCACACTCATTTTGCTAAACTTTGAGCCACAGTGAATTCTGATGCTTGAGTATAAGGCCCTGAAAATAGGCATTTTCCATGGAAACGCCGATAGGTCTCTTATCATGGCGGCTCTGGGAAGGCAACTGAGGCTCTAGGCTCCTGTGCGCAGACTCAACTTCTCTCTCCCTTACAGAAGTGGTAAATAATATTGGAACAAAGTGAGTCAGGATACTTAGGATTCACTGTAGCAAAGAGAATTGGAACAACAAAAGCACTGTCACTGATGAAATTGGAATTTTTTTTTTAATTAACACTTCTAATTAGAATTTAACATCTCACTAGCTTCGTATGGGATTTTTCGCTTCCTTAACCTCACGGAAACCTATCTGTTGGCTCTAAATAGGCAGTCACTTACCAGGCACCACTTGAGGATTTCAATTAATCCCAAATCCTCCAACTTTGGTTTGTGAACTTGTCTTTTTGCTCTTGTGCCATTCCCTTCTGTTGGAACACACTCACTCAAAGTCCTCTCAACAGGTATTGTTGTGCCACCCTCCTCCCTGATCCTACTTCTCTCCTATCTTCAAGAAACAATTTCATAAATTTGATTGTGACTATTAAAAGAGATCATTGGTAATAGCATTTGTCATTAGGTAGGCCCCAGCCATGTGCCAGGATGTGTGATGGATTCTTTGCAGGCTATGAGGGGAGGTCTGAGTTATGTGTGAATCAGGGTCTATCTGCCCACCTCTGTGTTATCCTGGTTAAAGTCAGAAATACAGGCAGTGGACATGTGTCATTCTGAAGCTCTTCTTGTCTACTCTTCAAAATGTTATCAACATCAATAAAATCTAAGGTTATTTTCAGTGATTTTTAATTCTAAGGAATAAATGACATTTTGATGTATCCTAGAGAACCTCAAAGCATTTTCATTCGGACACACCTTGTAAATTGTACCATATATCTACAGAAAGAGGATAATTCACTCATATTTGCTGACTCAGTTAAAACTGAAAACTTGGCTGAGCTCAGACTTTGCTAGAATTTTGAAGAAGGCTCTGAGGATGGTAAAAGGTTATCAATGTGCATTCAAGAGTGTATGAAAGTCATCCAGTCTGCCTGTCATTCTCAATCTAGGAAACAGTGTAGGGGCCTAAGAAAGCAAAATAAAAAAAGAATACCTCTAAAATCATGATGCTAATGTGTAGATGTTAGCATCTCTGAATCTCAGGAAATTCCTAGGTAACTGATAAAGAATTCCAAGGGTTTCTTCCAGGGAACCTCATCTAATGGTAAAAGTCCCATCATTAGATATTCATTTATTTAACTTCTATTCTTTTTGTTTTCTGTGCAAAGTTACCTAACCCAGGAGAGATAGGTAATATTTGGAGTCTCATTTAAACTTGATATGAAGGAACTTGATGAGATCTTTTAATGCGGGTGGTTAGAATAAAGATAAAACCCTGGAGCAGAATTAGGAAAATGGGATCCTTTGGTGGCCAGGAGACTTGCAGAGTGTGGGAAGAGGAAGGGAGAGAGCAGGGCCCTCCAGGAGCTCCCTCCATTGCCCAGGTCTGCCCTGACTTGGCCAAGCCACTGTTTTTTCATGGCATGCAAAGGTGGCAAGTGCCTTAGCAATAAGATGAGGTTGAATGGGAATGTCACAGCCCTGCCACCACCGAGCAGTTCGGAGAGCATGGGAGATTTTTAACATAATAATTATAGCATAATCATTTAAACATTATAATTATAACATCTTTTGTGTAAGGTCTTTCTTCCATGGAGAATTGCCAACATTCATCATCATCAAAAGTATTTATTTAGCACCCACATGTGTATAGTTCTGCTGAGTGCTAGTTTTTTCTTTGATAATTTTTATAACATCTTAAATGGGAAAAGAAAAGCTGGAGGAGGAGGAGATTTAGGGAAAAGAAGGTTAAAAAAAGAGCCTTGGCTATTTTAAAACTACTCTCAGTAACTTTTGAGAACAGAAGTATAGGTGGACCCCAGAAATGGAGAAAGATTTTTCCTAATGAGGGATGGAATAGAAAGTACCATTTCCTAGCAATATTTCTATTTTTCTAGAAATGTCATTAAATAATAATTTTTTTGAAAACCTAAGTGTGCAGAGCATTCTCTACAATCAAATATCTTAAGGTATGAGTGTTTGATCTAAACATCTCTATATTTCACCCAAACTTTTAAACATTTTAAAGAAATCTGATGAAGGAAGAGCTCTCTTGGTTGATGTTATTAAATGTTATCTTTGCTAATTTCCTTAGGGTTGGCAAAGCCTCACCAATCACAGAGATGCTTTTAGATCTAAACGAGTTTTGTGTGAAACACTTCAACATTTTCTATGCATACTTACATGAAAAACACATGCAGCCAATTCAAGGCAAGTAGGTTGTGGAATTATATAGATCTAGAATTATTTCCACAATTATTTTCACACTACAGCTTACACATATGTTGAAAAGTCTATTGTAGGATATACAGTATTTTGAAAATTCCAGAAGGACTGGAAAATAAAGTGTAGATATTTTGTAAAATACTTAACCAAATGGTTCACACAAATATAGAAGCAAACTGTGCACTTGGAGATTCCCTTTTAGGCCCTCTTCCCTTGAGTTTAACATATGTGTCCTACTTTTTTAAAATACCGAAAATATTTGCAAGTATGTTTATTGAAATGTTTCTAAATTCTTTGCAGTAGTCATCCCATTTACATCCATACATAATTCCCACTCTTTTCTGTGGGCATGGTGAGTGTGGGGTGGAAAAACTTGGATAATTATATCTTACGAGTTTGTAAGATTTTAAATTTCCAAAGGAAAATTAGACCCATAAATTTTTTTTTCAGATGTGCAGCTGAGAAATACTTTTTTAAATCGCTAATTTCACTGCAGATTAACACATTCAGTTCTGCCAAAAATCTGCCTCTTCCCATCCTTTCTTAACTGTGCCAGCCACTCTCTTCCCCTTGCCTGACTGCTTCTTTGATGTCTTCTAGATTGAAAAAAACAAAAACAAAAACAAAACAAAACTCTTTATTCCCCTGAAAAGTAGATAGGGGATGCTGATAATTTCTGCTCTTTCAAAAATCTCTTTTTCTTAAATTGCAGAGAAAACAGAGAATGAATTGAAGAATCATTAAATCAAGGGCAAATATTACCACAATACAGTTCAAGTATTTATCAAATATATTTGTGTCCCACCTCAATAAATTCATTTTATGAAATCCAGACTCTTAGTACAGATATATTCAGAATGGATTCATCCTTGTTAAAAGGAAAGCATTTCTTTAAAATTAACTACTAGAATGTCAAAAATAATGCAATTTATAAAAAATAAAATTATAGTTAACTTGTCAGGTATAAATCTTTCCAAAATGAGATCACAAAGAAAACGTAGCAAAATCTGTCTATAACCTAAACCAAGCTATATTAATAAAATATACTTTTTAAAGGATATCGTCTTTATTGAGGTTCTCTGGAAGAAACAAAGGTAAAAGATAAATACATTCCACAGGGAGTCAGAGTCTATTGTAAAATATGCTAATAAAGAGTGACAAATAATTCAGGTTCTCATGTTGAAATTAAAATGGGTCCTATGATTAATATATAACCCTTGTCAATATCAAATAAAATTATTTTATGGAATATATGTATAATATATAATACATTGATACTCATACATATGTGTATATGTATTATGTGTGTTTGTGTGTGTGTGTGTGTGACTGTGTGGGTATTAATTGGGCTCCCTGGGGGCAGAGTACAAAGCTGAATGGCAAAGTGGAAACAAGCAATTCATGGTGAAAATATTGTCAAAGATGGCCCCGTATGGACCACTGAGAGGTAATTGCCTTTGATGTACATTTTCTGCCAGGGCTTTACAAAATTCCCAGGTGACTCAAACCAATATTGAGAGTTCCCTTGAATTGTAAAGTTTTCTAAAATAAAACCCTTTTTATTCTTGACAATAATGTATTGGAATTCAGCCATTTAAAATAATAACATGATTGCCAAGTTCATCACTAAATTCTGTTTTTTAGCTGTAGTCCCCCCAAAATTAATCTTCAACATTCCCAGGGCGAGCAAGGCCTACAACATTGATTATTTGATGTTAGCAGCATAAAAACATTTCACATGAGAATCAAAGTGCCTGTGAACACCTACCACATAATCCCCCCTTTCACTGGAGATAAATTATGAATTCAAGGATGTAATAAAATAATGACAAGGACTATGTTGTTTATTTCAATAAGCAGGCTGCATCCAGTGGTTAAAAGCAGGCAGAATTTAAGAACACAGCTTTAATTTTTTCTTTTTCTCTACTTACCCCTCTGGATTTCCAACTGTGAACCAGATAGGAGAATGCAACCTGGTAAGCCATGGGTTAGACTCAATCCAAAAGTGTGCCTGTGTTTTTAAAAATGTCTTTGTTCAGTTTATTTTCTGATGAGGGGAGGAGGGTGTCTGCATGTAAGATGTCTTCCTTTCTCTGTTTAAGAAATTAAATATAATTGCCAACATGTAGAAATTATGAGAGTTCACCAAAAACTGGTCTATCTGTTTCCCTTGAAAGCAGCAGGATCTTGCAACATTAGACTTTCCTCCGCACACTGCAATCGTGGCAGGGGCACCCTCTGTGGGAGGCCTGGTCTCAAGCTTGTGCTGCACCTGCTGGAAGGCTCCATTGGAACACCCGTCTGCTGCTGCACCCCCTCCCTCACTGCTTCCCACTGGGAAACTGGGCTGATATTAATTCAGAAAGAGAGTGGATTACTTCAGAGGTTTCACTAGACTTTCCTCACTTTATCTCAGTAAGTAATGGACAGAAGTTTTTGTTGACAATATTGGCCTAGGATTTTTTGAAGTACTATTTGCCAAATTCTGTTCTGTGCAACACTGGTTCCTCAGAAACTAGACTATTAAGAAAAAAATAGAAAAGATTCCTGTTGTCAAATAAGTTTTTAATTTAAAAAAGAAAAAACAATTTTAAGAGACAAAGTCTCACTCTGTTACCCAAGCTGGAGTGCAGTGACAATCATAGCTCACTGCAGTCTTGAACTCCTGAATTCCTGGGCTCCAGGGATCCTCCTGCCTCAGCCTCCTAAAGAGAGCTGGGATTACAGGCATGAGCCACCATGCCTAGCCCTATTGTCAAATAAGTTTAAGCAATGTCAAATAAATTATTTTATGTAGCAGTTCTGTGCCCCAGGTATGTCTTGTACTACAAATATCCAAGAGGACATTTACAAAGCAGGATATTCCAAATTTATTTGATCATGGAATATTTCTTTTAATGAGTCATATATTTTGAAATATGGTACCTGGCAGAAATGTGGTGTCATTTGTAAAAGAATATAGGTGCAGCTGTAGTCTTAACTTGAACTTTAACTGACCATTGAGTGTGTATAAGATTCACACTTCAGGATTCTCTGACTTTACATTGCTTTACTTGGTTTAGCATTTTTTTTCTGTTGAAAGAGAATTAAGGCCGGGTTTTGAAAGCATGTTTAGAGGAAGAGGTTGGGAGGACAACAAAAATGGCCCAACATCTGTATAAGATAGTGGTCTGATGACCATTTCCATGGACTTGAGTGTGAGTCCTCAGAGTGGAGGCAAAGTCGGAACTTGAATAAATCATTTCACAAGGGACCTCAATAAGTATGAATATAGCAACATCTCTGCTTCCATGTCCAGGAAGAAAGTAAGGCAAGTTGGGGGAGAAGATGCTCTTTCCTTGCTGCTCAGACAGCAGCCTGGTTTCAGCACAGTGAAGGAGACAGGAACCAACAGGGCTCTTGCAACTGCAGAGTAGGTGCAAAAGCCTTGAATGGGCACCCAGGGAGTGCTGTTGGCTGTGACAGTGGGAAGCACCTTCTGCAAAGACCTCCTGGCAGCAGGTGTCTGCAAGGGGGCTGGATCTAAAAGCAGGAAAGAAAGTCCAGACGGACAATTGGGACATTAACCCTGCCACGCTTCAAATCTTAAGTGTAATATGGTCTTGAATATCCTTTCTACCTGCAGGGAGGAGCAGGGGTTACTGAGATGTGCGTTTATACTTTTAGACACATACTACTTTCCTAAAGACTGCAAAGTCTGGAGAATTTTAGGTTTTACGTCTTATTAATAGTAAACCCTTTAATATTCCTGATTACATGAAGGTCCTGAAAAAATTTGCAACAGTTCCCTTATGTAATAGATTCATATTTGATTCACAAAACAATTCCCATAAAAATGAAAAAGAAAAGTCACGAATTAAAAAAATAATAAATTAAAAAGTACTGCTCATCTCATACCATGCTTCTCTTGGGATCTGACACATTGCACCTCTCTTTTTTATATATAATATAAGAGGGAAAGATGGCATGAAGCATGCCAGCAGCTCAGTGAGGACCTGACACCCGGAACGCTAGACTGTAAATTATAATATCCCATGCTGACTGTCAGCGCACCCCTGCGTGGTCCTAGTAGTAGTAGGCATTCGAGTGCTTGAGTGTCTGAATCATGCCCCTGATATTTAGCCTTATGCATTAAAGAAGCAGCCGACAGAAAGGTCATAAATTCAGCCTGGAGAGTGATATAAGCTGTGCGGAGCACAAAGTGCGGAAGCTGATGGAATTCCTCCTGCCCCCCACCTTTCCTGCTCAGCACACACCAGCTGGAGGTGATGGATTGGCCTTTTAGGTGGCCTCATATTGGGATGCTTTGCTGTGAACCAACCAACTTCTATGCAATGAGACTACATCATGGCAGGATTGCAGCCCTGCCAGGGCTTGCCTCACTAAAATCTTTAACCATTGCCTCCCCAAGCTGCTCTGAGAACGGCGTGTGATTGGGGTGCCAGATCTCACAGCATGACTCCTAAGCCCTTAAATGCTCTGCTTCCAGCATTTCTTTCCACAGAAAGGCTTGGAAGTTGTTTCGAAATTCCAGAGTGAGTCAATGAGTTAGTGATCCCCTTGGGACATTCCAAATTGACTACTACCTCTTCATGTCCTCTCACAAAGCATTTTATTCTTCAGCATTTGTATGCTTATTTCTCTCAGCTTTTCTGTTATCAAATATAAGAAGAGAGCTATATTAGTCCATTCTCACACTCCTTAAAGAACTAGCTGAGACTGGGTAATCTATAAAGAAAAGAAGTTTAATTGACTCTCAGTTCCTCAGGCTGTACAGGAAACATGGCTTGGGAGGCCTCAGGAAACTTACAATCATGGTGGAAGGCAAAAGGGAAGCCGGCATGTCTTACATGGCAGGAGCGGGAGGAAGAGATAGTGAAGGGGGAAGTGCTACACCCTTTTAAACAACCAGATCTCGTGAGAACTGACTCACTATCGCAAGAACAGCAACGGGAATGTCTGCCCCCATGATCCAATCACCTCCCACCCGATCCCTCCCCCAACGTTGGGTCTTACAATTTAACATGAGATTTGGGTGGAGAAACAGAGCCAAACCACATGAAGAGCAGACCTACATTTAAGGAGTGGGGTGAGTGGAAGGAGAGACCTCATAAAATCAACTGCCAAGTAAGGGGTTCTTTTTTGTACCTAAACTCTGGATAAATATTTACTTAGAATTAAAGACTGAGACAGCCATGTGCAAAGATCATTTTGCCCTTTGAAAAGGCATGCAGGAGAGAAATTGCCTTTTGTGATCATTTCCGTACAAGGTAAACTTCTTAGATTTTTTACAGTTAAAAAATGATGTGTCTGTATTAGTCCATTCTCACGTTGCTCATAAACACATACCCAAGACTGGGTAATTTATAAAGAAAAGAGATTAATTGACTTTAATTGACTCACAGTTCCGCATGGTTCAGGAAACTTACAATCATGGCAAAGGCACCTCTTTACAGGGCGGCAGGAGAGCGATGTGCTGAGCAAAGGGAGAAAAGCCTCTTACAAAACCATCCACTGTCACAAGAACAGCATGGGGGTAACCGCCCTCATGATTCAATTACCTCCCACCGGGTCCTCTCACAAGAGGTGAGGATTATAGGAACTACAATTCAATATGAGATTTGGGTGGCGAGACACCCAAACCATATTAGAATCTGTGTTTCAGATTTAATTAAACATTTCTTGAAATTATTTTGACTAAACGTATCACTTTGGCTTGTTCTTTTTGTTTCCTTCATTTCTTTTTTCTTCCTTTCTACCTATTTAATTTTAGAGTACCAGCAATATGGGCAATATGGGATTGGCTAATCCAAGCACCCCAAACACATCTAATGGTTCATATGATGACTCATAAAGGAGAGAATTTCTCTAAATTTTTTCGCTGTTTGAAACCTGTTTTTTTTTTCAAGTCACAAACTTTCCCAGAGCCTCTTTTCTGCCTTTCCATGTCCTTTTTCTTAATTCTCTTCTATTTTAAATATTTTTGATCAAGAGTTAGAGTCTATTTCTCTACCCTGGAATCACAGTTGGCCTCATCACTTGCACTGTCCTATCGTCCGTGATGCAGAGCCACTTCCAAGCCAGGACCTGAGTGCCCTGTGTACTTCTGCTCTCCAGCTCTCAGAACTCCATCTACCTGCTGCATGACCAAGTATAAGCTAATATGCTGGATAATGGGAGACTACATGGAACAGAGGGAATGAACTCCTTCTACAGCCATCCTTGATCAGCCAGTGCTCAACCAACCTGGCACCTGCCTGCAGAAGCATCATGAGCTTAGCCAAGATGAGAAAAACTGCCCTGCCTGAGCCCAGCCCCAAGTGTCTGCGTGTTCTTCTGTTTTTAGCCACTATATTTTTTGGTGGTTTGTGGCATAAAAAAATGCAAACTGATTGTTATAGTTAACTGTATGTGTCAACTTGGTTATGTTACGGTACTTAAATATTTAGTCAAACATTATTCTAGATGTTTCTGTGAAGATTTTTTAAGGTGAGATTAACATTTAAACCAGTAGACTTTAAGTAAAGCATATGACCCTCCATAATGTGGGTGAGCCTCATCCAATCAGTTGAAGGCCTTTGTAGAGAAACACTGAACTCTTTGAGCAAGAAAAAAATTCTACCAGTGAACAGCCTTTGGACTTGAACTGCAAGGCTTCTTTAGGTCTCCAGCCCACCAGCCTGCCCTGCAGATTGTGTACCTGCCAGCCCCCACAATTGTTAGCCAGTTCTTTAAAATATATGCCCCCACCACACACTTATCTATCTACCTACCTACCTGTCTACCCTGTTGGTTGTGTTTCTCTGGAGTCCTCTGACTAATATACTAATTTACTTACTAATTCTTACTTTTGTTATTTTCTTTAATAGAAAAGATAGGCAAAACAGTTAATTTATTTCATTACAATTAGGCAAGGCTCCTTTTTATGCCCAATTTCTTTCATTTTCCAACTGCCTCCCACCCCTTAGTGACCTGAACCATGACTAACTTTTTGTATCACAGGGATCAGGAAAATGGTGTTGCCCTTGGTAAATATTGATCACCTTCTCCCTCTTTCCGAAGCCCAAAATGGCAAGAGAGTGATGGGCCACATCAGCTTGCATGTATGTTTGTTTCCCGTGCCCCTCATCAAGAATATTGCCTGCAAAAGAAATGCTCATTACCCTCAGAGGGGTTGTAGTCTATAACGGAATGATTATCGTTGGTATGGATATTTAATTGGCAATTATTATGGCCAAAATCTTTCTTTCTTCCTTTTCTTTTTTCAGAAGTAGGTTCTTGCTATGTTGACCAGGCTGGTGTGCAGTGGTGCAATCATAGCTTATTGCATCCTTAAACTCCTGGGCTCAAGCAATTCTCTTGGCTCAGCCTCCCAAGTAGTTGGGACCACAAGTGCATGCCACCACACCCAGCTAATTTTAACCTTTTTTTTTTTTTTTTTTTTTTTTGCATAGACAGGGTCTCACTATGTTGACCAGGCAGGTCTGGAATTCCTGGCCTCAAGAAATCCTTCTGCTTCAGCCTCCCAAAGTGCTGAAATTACAGGTGTGAGCTACTACCCCCAGCCCAGGACCAAAATATTTCTAATGCATCAGTTTGTTTCTCTATTTAAAAGGGAAATAATTATTTATAATAATTATCCGATCATTGCATATATTTATTTTAAACCATCCAGTGACTTTGCATAATGGACAATAAAAAATCTGCAGTCTATAGCATCTTATATTGAAACACTTTGAACAGTCAACTATGAAACAGGAATAATTGCACACATATGTGCTTTCTCTTACTCTTTGTATTTACTTATGCACACACCTATTGGCAAAAGGTTTATTCTAAGCAGAAATCTGGATTTGTTCTTGTATCAAATAAATCTTGTACTCATTATGCATCTTTGTGAGTGTGTATGTCATTGTCTCCCCAATTCTGGAAGTGAATAGTCACTATAGAACAATGCAGTCAACTGAAGCTTTCAATAAAAAAGAGATGGCCGGGCGCGGTGGCTCACGCCTGTAATCCCAGCACTTTGGGAGGCCGAGGTGGGCGGATCACAAGGTCAGGAGATTGAGACCATCCTGGCTAACACGGTGAAACCCCGTCTCTACTAAAAATACAAAAAAAAATTAGCCAGGCATGGCGGCGTGCACCTGTAGTCCCAGCTGCTAGGGAGGCTGAGGCAGGAGAATGGCGTGAACCCGGGAGGCGGAGCTTGCAGTGAGCCGAGATCGCGCCACTGCACTCAAACCTGGGAAACAGAGCGAGACAACGTCTCAAAAAAAAAAAAAAAAAAAAAGGAACAGACTTCCTCTTTCCTGCAAGCGAATGGAAGGGAAAGTGGGATGTCATAACCTTCCACAGTCACTGTAGGGATTCCAGGGAGCTCAGGCGCTGAGGCTGCACCATTCAGCATGCTTCCATTGACGTTGGTAACCGCTGGGTGTCTGCTGGTGGCCTGGAACAGCCATTCCACTTTCCAGCAGGCTGCAGGGTTGGATGACCTGACTTTGAAGAGGCCTCACAGGTTGTTCCATGAGCAAATGTGTGTAGCAGCTAGCAATAGGTGGCTAGTGTTCTGGGCAAGCTAGAGTTGGATGAGTTACAAAAGAAAAATGTAGGATAAGAAGTGTCACTATCACATGACTCATAAAGTAATACCTTACATTTTCACTTGTCTAAACTTGTAGTAAAAACTAAGCCATGTATGTTTTAATGGCAAAAACATACACATTTTCCTATTCTTGGTTAGTACAGCAATTGTCACATTGCATGCTTTTCTAAACTGTTATGTGGATATGCCAAAGAAAGTGTTGGGGGGTCACCTGTATATTTAAAAATGGTCTCAGATTTTGGTTTTTTTTTTAAGACAGAGTCTCGCTCTGTCACTCAGGTTGGAGTGCAGTGGCTTGATCTTGGCTCACTGCAACCTCTGCCTCCTGGGTGCAAGCGATTCTCCTGCCTCAGCCTCCTGAGTAGCTGGGATTACAGGCGTGCACCACCATGCCCAGCTAATTTTTTTGTAGTTTTAGTAGAGATGGGATTTCGCCATGTTGGCCAGGCTGGTCTCAAATTCCTGATCTCAAGTGATCCACCCGCCTCTGCCTCCCAAAGTGCTGGGATTACAGGTGTGAGCCACCACGCCCGACTGGTCTCAGATATTTTTAATTATAGTAGTGTTTGAGGCAGGAAGAAGGCAATGTGCATAACCTAAGAAAGTTATGTTTGATTGTATCCACTGTGGAGATGTTTATTTAATTGGGTGACTATTTTCATACATTTAATTTACTCCCTATTTTTGTTTGCACATAGATGAATTTATTATATTTATTCTTCTTTATAAAAGTTCCATAAAGCCTTTAAGTGACAATTTTTTTGGCTTGTTTTCTCCTGTGCATTCAAAAGAAACTCAATTCTTCCTAACTGCTCACCTCCTTATAAACACAGCAGCAATTGTGGAGATGCTGGCCTTGTAACTCCGAATCCCTTCTAGGGAATGTGGCGGTGCTCGGGTAACAACCTGTGCCTAGAGTTCCTTTTCACCACCAAAGCCTACAGTTTTTGCCCCAGGAAGATTTAAATATCCTGAAAGGAAATCATTTGAAAAGTTTCATTCTGCATCCACTTTTACCCCCAGAAATATTTCTTCCAGAAAATCCATGCAGGTAAAAATGTCATGGTCCTTGGGAAACATTGTGGATGGATAGAAGAAGTGTGAGATCTCAGAATACACATATTGGTTTTGATTCCTGCTTCCTTTGCATGGTCCAGGGAGGCCAGGCAGGACACTTGTCACCTGTACAACTGTTCCACAGCTGTTCAAGGGGACACACAGCTCTCTACAGGGAAGATAGAAGAATTGAAGACTTTGAAGGGCAGATGCCCCATAAATACTGTTATTCTATCTTAATGGAGGCACTATTACTCTTTATCATAAAGTAATGATTTTTTCATAAAAATAAATATTCTAAGTAACTGAAGATAGCATCTTTAAGCATTATCATTGAAAAAAAAATTTAATGCCCATTGGGAATTTTTGCAGGCATGAGTCCTAAGTGCAACCTTGTGAGTCATATTTCATTTTTTTTTGTACCCTGGGAGGAGTGATCATGGCTAAATATGTCACCACATTTGTACAAAAGTAATCCATTGATCCTTTTTGTTGTTTCCCAATCTGAGCTAGCTTATTGTAGTTGGAGGCCCATTTTTTAATTTGTAACTCCATTGCTAGCATTCTGTCTGGTCATTCTGAAATATGAATGGGGGAAAAAAAGCACTTCTCTCATATTCTAAACATGTGCCACCCTGGACTATATCACACTTACTTGCTGTTTCCACGTGTTGTCATAGAATATAGTCTCTGAAGTTCTACAGTTTTTAGCTACTGCTTAAGCTCTGCTTGAAGTCCCATGCATTTCCTGTCATTTTCTCCCTTTCTCCCTTTCATCTTCAAACCAGAAGGTGGATGGCCACCTTCTTGCTGTGTCCCACATGACCCTTCTCCTGTGCACACATTTCCCTGATGTCTTTTCCTCTTCTTTTCAGGACAACAACCCATTAAACTAGGCTCCACCCTCACAACCCCATTTAAACTTGATTACCTCCTGTCTCCAAATACAGTTACTATATTTTTTGGAGGTAATATGCACAATTTAGCCCATACACTTCCCTTTCCTTCCTCACTGTTGCTATGTAGCCTCCTCTCCTTCCATTCATTGAAGCTAATTTAATGCAGGCCAGCAGAGACCTCCTAGTGACTTGGGCTCAACCTTTTCAGGTTCAAAGAAACTTTTCCTCATCTCACTGCCAGCTCTTTGCCTAAAGACCCCTCCAGACCAGATGATTTTAATTGGCAAAACCTCAAAGATAAATCTCTTCCATTTGGCCTTTCTATCCAATAAAAATTACATCAAATCACAATAATAATATTTACAACAAAGCATTTATTTAAATATTGAAAAATACTCCATATTGAGCAAGAATTTCCAATTTACCTCTTAGCCACCATTTACATATTGTGCACATATACATTTTAAACAAATTTTGATACGGAATAATTTTGATTTTTTTATGAAATTTGATTAAAAAATCTATCTGAATTGACAAGCTAAGTAAATTCCGTTGAGAATATATGTATTCTATGTAAGTGAGAAACAAATTGTTATGCAAGAAGAGAGGCCTCAAGAGAAAGCAGACCTGCTGAAAATCTGATCTTAGTCTTCCACCTTAAAAGAAGATGGAAAAAATAGGAAAGAGAAAAATCAGAAGGTAGCTAAATGGTCTGAGTTTAGCAGAGGTTTTGTCTTAAATTGTAAACCTTTTATAGCGATATTGTTCACATTTATTCTGTTGGTTTCTTATTGCTGCCATAACAAATTATATCAAATTTAGTGGCAAACTTAGTGGCTAAAAACAACACCATATAGTGAACCTCTGCTTAGGGTCTCTCAAGGCCAAAATCAATGGGTTGTCAGAACTGTATTGCTTCTTGGAGGTTCAGGGAAGAATCTGCATCCAAGCCGCTGGATATTGTTGGCAGAATTCCATTTCTGGTGGCTCTAAAACTCACATCCCTGTTTCCCTACTGCGTGGCAGCTGAGAATCTCTCACCTTCTTGAAGTCACACGCATGTCCTGTCATTTTCTCCCTTTCATCTTCAAATCAGAAAAGGTGTGTCACGTGTCTCTCATGTTTTGAATCTCTCTGACTTTCCCCTTCCACCTCATACCTCCTGCTCATGTGATTAGATTTGCCCCATCTGATTAATCCAGGACGATTTCTCTATTTTAAACTCTGTAATTACAATTCCATCTGCAAAGTCTTTTTTGTGATGTAAGGTATATACTCACAGGTTCTGGAAATTATGGTGTGGACCCCTTTGAGGGCGCCATTCTGCCTGTCACATTTCTATATTAAGAGCTCTGAGATATAAATATAGCTGAGAAGAGCCAATTAAGCAAACTTTCTGAAAAGCTTGAGGGGAGAAAGGAATCATAAGAGAGATGGGATGGTTGGCTTGGAATACAGAATACCCAAAGAAGTAGTGTTATTTGATGCACACAGGCATTGAGGCAGTTCATTCCCATTGGCCTCAGTTTTTGTTTTTAAATCAAGAATATCGGGTGAAACCTGTAGGCTGATCAGGAACCTGGATAAGATTTGTAGAGATAGGTGTATTAGTCTATTTTCACCTTGCTGATAAAGACATACCCAAGATGGGATGATTTATAAAGAAAAAGGTTTAATGGACTCACAGTTCCACGTGGCTGGGGAGGTCACACAGTCATGGTGGAAAGTGAAAGGCATGTCTTACATGGCAGCAGACAAGAGATAGAATGAGAGCCAAGCGAAAGGGCTTTCCCCTTAAAAAGCCATCAGATCTCACAAGTCTTATTCACTGTCATGAGAATAGTGTGGGGGAAACAGCCCTCATGATTCAATTATCTTCCACTGGGTCCCTCCCACAACACATGGGCATTATGGGAGCTACAATTCAAGATGAGATTTGGGTGGGGACACAGCCAAACCATATCAGTATGGAAGACTGTCCAAGCCATTCCTGTGTAAATCCTGCTTTTTGTGTCACTTTTCTGAGCATAGCTATTTTCTATTCATTGTCTGTATTTAGAAAAGTAAACTCATTGTTACTGTGCAAAGATAGAAACACAATTCAAGCTTTTGTGTTCTAAGCAATTAACCTCCAAGTCCAGTCTCAAAACTAATTGTTCTGTAGAATATTGCCAAGTGTTATCATTCAGGTTCTGTCCCCAAAACTTAAACTATACTAGGTGCTAAGTGTTGGAAGGGCTTAAAGATACGGTAACTCAGAGATTACTAGCAGCAGAGCGTCTAGAGCAAAGATAACAGCATCAAGCAGATTCTACTCCCAGAAACCAGGAAGCAGGGCTGGTGCAACTGATACTAGTTGCAGAATGTGATAAAGGGACAGACATGCTTAGACCTTGCATGTGGAGCACTGTGGTTGACACGACCACCTAGGACAGGAATGGAACAATGGAGGAAGGGCTACCGTGCTGGCCTGGAACCATGGAGGAACCATTGATGGGACCAACAAGAGGATCAAGGGGGGCTACCGAACATAGCTTAGTTTACAATCGAATGAAGCCACTTCCAGCGAATCTGCCACAAACAGAGAAAGATAGAGATAAGAAAATCTTCTAGTCTGCCATGCTTCTGATGTTGCACTATCTCTTATTGACTGAACACAAATAGAAGCTAGCTTTCAAAAGAGGCTGGAAATCCAGACTTACTGAGCAGAAAGTGCTACTAGTTCCTAGGAATAAGGCTAACCCAGAAAGAGACTAGAGCTTACAGTGACGAAAGTCTGGCTGCCAAACATCTCAATCCCTATTGGATTAAAATGATCTCTGAAAATATTATTGACTCTAGGCAAAAGTCAATCATTTCTGCATAAAGATAGTGTTATCCAAAACTTTTAATCAACTCTAAAAATTATCATATGCAATGCCCAGCTCTCAATAAAAATATCACCATACATAAGAGAAGACATGACTTAAAGTGAAACAACAAACCATTGAAACAGACACAGAGTTCGAGAATAGGAAATAAGATTAGAGACCTTAAAACAACTAAAACTAATATATAAAATAAAATGTTAAAACCATCAAAAATTTTGTCAGAGTATAAATTATAGAAAAAGAAAAAATTCTAGAATTAAAATATGCAATAACCAAAATTACAAAATAAATAGAGAGGAAGAGTTGGTTGGCAGATAGGTAAAACAATATGTACCTGGAATCAACAATAAAGTTAAGAATATTTTATTAAACTATGCAATAGACACATTGAGATATGGTCAGAAGCTCCTACCTACATATAATTTGGGTCCAGAAGAGGCGGAGAGTGAGACAGATAGAGTATTTGAGACTGTAATTGTTGAGCAAATTTCAGAAATGATGAATTCTTCAAGCTTTCAATTCATAAACGATTATAAATCAAGAAAAGTGCAAAAAAAAACCCAAGTAGACTTACAAAAATAAATTTTCTGTATCTTTTATTTGTGAAAATCAGTGATAAAGAATACATTTTTAACCACAGCAAGAGAAACACAGGATATTACCTTCAATATAGCAACAATAAGAATATCAACTATCTTCCCTTTATCATGCAGAAGGAAAATAAATTTTAACTTGGAATTCTATATTTAGCAAAAAAATAGTATTTAAAACTGGAAGTAAAATAAAAACATTTTCAGACAAACTAAAATGGAAATGATTTGTCACGAGCACAGCCTCTCTAAAGGTCATCTTCAGCAAAAAGGAAGATGATCCAATAGGAAAGTTCAGAGAGGTAGGAAGACTAAAGGTATGCGGCTTAATCTAAATGAAACTATCTGTTGTAGACAATCATAATGTCAAAAATAACATGATAGAGAACAACACAGCATACATATCAGGAAGTAGTTAAAATGAAAAAGTATTAAGATCTTTTCTTGTACAAAAAGTAGTAAAACAATTCATGGTAGATTTTAATAAGTAATAATGCATATTATAACTAGGCTCTAGGAAGATAAACTATTAAAAGAATAGTATATGTAGTTATTAATAAACTAATAAAAGGGATGTGGAATCATTTTTTTAAAACTTTGGCCTGGTGCAGTGGCTCACACCTGTAATCCCAGCAGCTGTGGAGGTTGAGGCGGGTGGATAGCTTGAGGTTGGGATTTTGAGACCAGCCTGGCCAACATGGTGAAACCCCGTCTCTAATAAAAATACAAAAATTATGAGGGCATGGTGGCGTACATCTGTAATCCCAGCTACTCGGGAGGCTGAGGCAGGAGAATTGCGTGAACCCGGGGAGCGGAGGTTGCAGTGAGCCTAGATCGCGCCACTGAACTCCAGCCTGGGCGAGAGAGTGAGACTCCATCTCAAAAAACCAAACCAAACCAAAACAAACAAACAAAAAAACTTCAGCAATTCAAACAAATACAACAAAATGGAACAGATCGTGGAGGGATGGGAGAATAGAAATATAGAAATGTGGCAAATCAATTTCAAACACATCAATAATTCCATTAAGTAAAACAACTAGAAATTCAACAGAAAAAATACAAGGAATAGCAGATTGGACTTTAGAAAAAAAGAAGGTATAAAGATTCAACTCATATGACCTTTGCAAACATCATTTTCAGCCTAAGAATTGAAAAATAGTGGAGGTATTGATAGTATAATATGGAATCACTGAAAGCTGATATATGTAGATTTATTTGAGTCAAAGTATGCTATGATGCAAAACGCATTACCAAAGATAAAGGGGAGCATTTAATAATGACAGAATTTCAATTTATCAGAAAAATATCAGAATTCAAACTACATGTTTAGCTCAAACTAACCCAACCTCAACACATGCCAAGCAAAAATTTACAAATGTAAAACAAAGTAAACTATAACATAATGAGAAATGTTTAATATACTTACAAAGAATTGCAGAGAAAATGTCATTGGAAATATGGATTTCAATAATATCATTACAAAGCACGAACCCGTTAACATATGTGGAATTATGTCTCTAAATTTCAGAAAACACAAAACACATAAAATTGATCATTTGCTAGTCCACAATGCAAATCTAAACAGATTTTAAAGATTAAAATCATACAGGTTATATTCTCTGGACATTAAAATATTAAACTGGAAACCAATATAAAAATAACTAGAAAATGCCAATGTTATGAAATTAGGCAAAAGTCAAGGAAGAAATCATAATCTGGAATTCCATATAATGAAAATTATAAAATACTTAGAACTAAGTAATATCAAAAACTTTCAAACTTATGATGCAGCCTAAGCTATATTTACATATGAATGAATTATAAGGAGAAAAGCTGAAAACATACATCTTGAATAAGAACAGCAAATTAAACTAGTAGAGTAAAATAAAAAATAGTAATTAAGAGCAGAATTTAATGAAATACAAAGCCATCATGTCTTATAGAAACTCAATACTGTCCAAAAATTGATAAACTTCTAGCAAGAAAAAGCAATGTTACAAATAAGTAACATCAGCAATAAAATGACGACATCTCAATAATTTTACAGATATTAAAAGATTGTTAAGTTATATTTTGCAAGACTTTATATCACTGAATTTAGAAATTGATTTAAATAATTATAGACCAAGGCAAGATATAAAGAGTTTTATTTTCAAAGCTGACAGAAGAGGAAATTAGAAATTGCAACAATCTTATGTGCATGAAAGAATTTGAATCCATAGTTAGGAACCTGCTAACAAAGTAATAGTCATGTGCCAGTGGCTTCAATTTTTAATTCCATTAAATAGTTAGGGAAAGTGTACCTTCCAGGGTATGTAACTAAAATCTATTCTTCAGTGTAGCTGCCGCTCATTAATACCAGTGTTTATTTGATATGTTTGCAAAACTGAGGTACATTTTGTCTTAAAACAGAATGGTTAGATACATTTTTTTTTTTTTTTTTTTTTTTTAGTGAATATTTGGGATGCTCTATTGGGTGCTGGGGACTTAAGGGAGAGTAAGGCTTTTGTCCACCTCCATATATTGGAAGTGAAATGGTATTGGCATATTCTCTTGGGAAAAGATGCTCTTAGAAGAAGATATCCAGAACTCCAATTCGTGGTGCCAGACAGATGGAAAATATTTATACCCTACCTTCTCTAATGATACTTGAGGATGAGGTGTTGATAGTTTCAATAATTGGGTAATTAGGCCTATCTGTGTAAACAAACAATTTTCCCAAATCTCAGAGATTTAATAAAAGTATATAAGTACATTTTTCATTCATAGAAAGAACCTGAATAAACTGTTTTTCTGCAGAAGTGTTTTTTTTAATTATTATTTGACAGTGATGTGGAAATCTTTTCAGGCTTTCATTTTTGTCTGTACCACTTCAACATGTGCTTTTCGAGAATCATTCAGAGTTGATATTGACTTAACTAGGAAATGGCACACGTCACAGAACTGGTTACTTGGACCTTCCCCACTGCAGGGTCTTGGAAAGCGTGAGGAAGTGCATCTATATTCCCTTCCATTCTTCTTCATTTTCTTCACATCTGCCATTGCTAATCTTAGACCACATGAGACCCTTTCCTAAATAAACGATTACTCTTAGTTATATGGAATAGATAGGAAACCTCCAGGCTACATTTAAGGAAGAAAAAGAAGGCGAGGAGAAAGGTGAGAAACTCCAAACATTGTTATGCAAAAAAGAAGTCTATTCATGACATAATCAATTTAGCATATTTATATTCCATATTCATAAATGAGAGATTTGGATAATTATGGTCTGTCACTGGAGTCAGGCATTCATTGACCTACAGGGCTAGAAAAAAACAAACATTTATTTTAAACCGTAGAAGGTCCTATTTCATGGTACTATAGAGTTTTCAATACTTAGAGAAAAATGATGATTTTTTTTTTCTGGAGGTGCCATTCTGAGAGAAATTTGAGAAAATAGTTATAGCTAGGACCTCTCCTTCTGTAAGAGAGCAGAGTTTTACACAGCAGAAACTTGATGTGACCTGTGATGAAATGCTGAAGTCAGATATAGATCAGTTCAGGATTGGGGACGAATATGGAAGGTTGAGAAAACTAATTAAGAATCTAAATGTTGTAACTCTATATGAAACGGTTGAGAATAAGATCTTCCACTTATCCCAATTCTGATTCTGAAAGACATACTTGTATTTCTGTATTTGAAGTTTCTATTCTTTAAATAAAGGAGGAAGTAAAAAAATTACTTAAATTTTACCTTTAAATATTGTATTATAAAATAATTCTTTTTAACATATACTTTTAAAAATATGTAAGCATAACTATGTTTAAGAAAATAAAAATGATATTATCAAGAGAGTTTTACAAATTTATTAACTAATCTTATTTAATTTGATGAGTATAGATAAAGAAGTTACTATGTTTTTGTTCCTAAGTGCTTTGAACAACTTGGCTCACTCTCGTTAGACAGTCTTTTATGATGACTATGAGTTTACCTAGCCTCTCAGTCCACTTCCTACTAGTTGCCACATAATCCTTTTGCTATACACCCCCAGCGTTCTTTTCTGCATTCATACAAGACTTTCTGGCCCTTATTTTCTTTTTTTAAAATTTATTTTATTTTAAGTTCTGGGATACATGTGTAAGATGTAGAGGTTTGTTACATAGGTAAACGTGTTCCACAGTGGTTTGGTGCACCTATTAACCCATCACCTAGATATTAAACCCCACATGCATTAGCTATTTATCCTGATGCTCTCCCTCCCCTCCTCCTACCCTACAGGTCCCAGCGTGTGTTGTTCCTTCCCCATGTGTTCATGTGTTCTCATTGTTCAGCTCCCACTTATAAATGAGAACATGCAGTGTTTAGTTTTCTGTTTCCTGTGTTAGTGTGCTGAGGATAATGGCCTCCAGCTCCATCCATGTCCCTGCAAAGGATGTGATCTCATTCCTTTTTATGGCTGCATAGTGTTCCATAGTGTGTGTGTATATATATATATGTGTGTGTGTATATATATGTATATATATATGTATACATATATACACCACATACTCTTTATCCAGTGTATCATTGATGGGCATTTGGGTTGATTCCATGTCTTTGCTATTGAGAATAGTGGTGTATAGAACATACACATGCAAGTATCTTTTTAATAGAATGATTTATATTCCTTTGTGTATATATGCAGTAATGGAATTGCTGGGTCAAATGGTATTTCTGATTCTAGGTTTTGAAGAATTACCACACTGTCTTCCACAATGGTGGGACAAACCTACATTCCCACTGATATGGCTTGGCTGTGTCCCCACCCAAATCTCATCTTGAATTGTAGCTCCCATTATACCCATGTGTTGTGAGAGAGACCCAGTGAGAGAAAATTGAATCATGAGGCAGTTTCCCCCATAATGTTCTCATGCTAGTAAATAAGTCTCAGGGGAGCTGACGGTTTTATAAATGGGAGTTCTCCTGTGCAGCCATGTAAGATGTGCCTTTCGTTTTCTGGAATTATTGAGGGGCCTCTCAGCCATGTGGAACTCAGTCCATTAAACCTCTTTTTCCTTATAAATTAACAAGTCTCAAGTATGTCTTTATCAGCAGCATGAAAATGGACTAAGACAGCAAATTGGTACCAGTACTGTGGGGAGCTGCTGTAGAGACCTGAAAGTGTGGAAGCAACTTTGGGACTGGGTCTGGCAGAGGTTGGAAGAGTTTGGAGGGCTCAGAAGAAGACAGGAAGATGTGAGAAAGTTTGGAACTTCCTATAGACTTGTTAAATGGCTTTGACCAAAAGGCTGATAGTGATATGGACAGTAAGGTCCAGGCTGAGGTGGTCTCAGATGGAGATGAGGAACTTGTTGGGAACTGGAGTAAAGGTCACTCTTTTTTTTGGTGGAGGGGATGGAGTCTTGTTCAGTCTCCCAGGCTGGAGTGCAGTGGAGTGATCTTGACTCATTGCAACCTCCGCCTCCCAGGTTCAAGCAACTCTCCTGCCTCAGCCTCCCGAAAAGCTGGGATTAAAGTCATGTGCCACCACGCCCAGCTAATTTTTGCATTTTTAGTAGAGACGGGGTTTCACCATGTTGGCCAGGCAGATCTCAAACTCCCGACCTCAGGTGATCCACCCACCTTGGCCTCCCAAAGTGCTAGGATTACAGGTGTGAGCCACCACCCCCCACCAAGGTCACTGTTGCTATGCAAAGAGACTGGTGGCATTTTACTCCTGCCCTACAGATCTGTGGAACTTTAAACTTGAGAAAGATGATTTAGGGTATCTGGTAGAAGAAATTTCAAAGCAGCAAAGTGTTCAAGAGGAAGTAGAGCATAAAAGCTTGAAAAATTTGCACCCTAACAATGCAATAGAAAAGAAAAACCCATTTTCTGTGGAGAAATTCAAGCCTGCTGCAGAAATTTGCATAAGTAACGAGGAGCCAAACACCAAGACAATGCAGAAATTGTCTCCAGGGCATGTCAGAGACCTTTGCAGCAGCCCCTCCCATCACAGGTCCAGAGGCTGAGGAAGAAAAAAATGGTTTGGTGGGCTAGGCCCAGGGCCACCCTGCTGTGTGGAGCCTAGGGACTTGGTGCCCTGCATCCTAGCTGCTCCAGCTATGGCTAAAAAGGGCTATACAGGTTGGACAATGGCTTCAGAGGGCACAAGTCCCAAGTCTTGGCAACTTTCATGTGATGTTGATCCTGTGGGTGCACAGAAGTCAAGAATTGAGGTTTGAGGACCTCAGCCTAGATGTCAGAGTATGTATGGAAATGCCTGGATGTCCAAGCAGAAGTTTGCTGCAGGGGTGGGGCTTCATGGAGAACCTCTGCTAGGGCAGTGAGTAAAAGAAATGCTGGATTGGAACCCCCACACAGAGTGAACATTGGGGCACTGCCAAGTGGAGCTATGAGAAGAGGGCCACTGTCCTCCAGACACCAGAATGGCATGGTAGAGCCATGGACAGCTTGCTCTGTGCACCTAGAAAAGCTGCAGACACTCAATGCCAGCTGGTGAAAGCAGCTAGGAGGGGACCTGTACCCTGCAAAGACATAGGGGTGGAGCTGCCCAAAGCCATGGCAAATGGCAGGCCCCCTCTTGCATCAGTATGACCTGGATGTAAAACATGGAGTCAAAGGAAATCATTTTAGAACTTTAAGATTTGGCTGCCCTGCTAGATTTTGGCCTTGCATGGGGTCTGTAGCCCCTTTGTTTTGGCCAATTTCTCACATTTGGAATGGGTCTATTTACCCAATGCCTGTATCCCCACTTTAAGAAGTAGTTAATTTGCTTTTGATTTTACATACAGGCTCATAGGTCTTGTCTTGTCTCAGATGAGACTTTGGACTGTGGACTTTTGAGTTAATGCTGAAATTAGTTAAGACTTCGAGGAACTGCTAGGAAGGCATAACTGGTTATGATATGTGAGGACTTGAGATTTGGGAGGGGCTGGGGGCAGAATGATATGGTATGGCTATGTTGCCACCCAAATATCATCTTGAATTGTAGCTTCCATAATTCCCACATGTCATGGGAGGGACCCAGTAGGAGACAATAGGATCGTGGTGGTGATTTACCCCATACCGTTCTCATGGTGGTGAATAAGTCTCATGAGATCTGATGGTTTTATAAATGGGAGTTCCTCTGTATAAGCCCTTTTGCCTGCCGCCATGTAAGACAGGTCTTTCACCTTCTGCCATGATTGTGAGGCCTCCCCAACCATGTGGCACTGTGAGTCCATTAAACCTCTTTTTCTTTATAAATTACCCAGTCTCAGGTATGTCTTTATCTACAGTGTGAAAACAGACAGACTAATACACCCACCAACAGTATGAAAGCATTCCTATTTCTCCACAGCCTCAGCAGCATCTGCTGTTTCTTGACTTTTTAATAATCACCATTCTGATGGGCATGAGATGGTATCTCACAGCAGTTCTGATTTACATTTCTCTAATAATCAGTGATGTTGGCCCCTGTTTTCTATAGAGGTCCACCATCCAATGGTAAAGGTGGTTTCTAGCAGTTAAGGTGTGCCTGTCGTTAACTGGGCCCGTTAATATCTGATATAGTAAGGTTTTCCTATAAAATGGTTAGTGCAACTCTAGGGAAATATAAAGGAACAGATATGAATAAGCTAAAAGCAATCTTATTGGCTACTTAGAATCTTAGTGGCTTCAATTTAGCAATTTATAAAGAATAATTAGAGTAAGAATTTTCATTGAGCACTTTCTGAGCTCTGGGCACTATACAGGCATTTTCACATTTTATCCTCAAATCAAGAGATAAAGTATTTTTTTTTTTTTTAACAAATGAAGAAAGTGTGGCTTGGACAAGCAATTTATGCATAATTACCCAAACAAAAATGGGCAAAGGTGGGATTTGATTTGGGGTCTGGTTAACTCCAAAGAAAAGATATTCCAATGAAGGGTGACTTCATTACATAAGCAGATGTTAAACAATTTTTACACTTATCGCTCAATCAACAGAAAATGGACATGCATTAAAGAAAATGAGTACATACTGGGCAAACTGAAAAAGATTTTGATTGCCACACTTCCTTAAAACAAAATGAAAAAGTCCATTGTATTAATCACGTTCTTTTAGTTTCTGTATTTCTGATGCTTTTGAAACAGGAGACTTGCAGATCCTGGAGAGATGGTCCCTCCCAGGGCTAGTCAATTTCTAGAGACAGTAAATTACACCCCTGTGAGTGTGCCTTTCAAATGCAAACCGACAAATTCAGAGTCCATATCCCCAACCACCTCTTCTACGGGGCTCTCCCGCTCTGGGGCTCTATTCCTCTGCCCTAACCACCCCAGGGCTAGGTACTTGACAATTAGGGACACCTCTGTTAACCAGAGCCTGCTGAAATTATTCAACTAGCTAATCCTTAGCCTGCTTTCCTTGCCTCCTCTATTCCTTTCCAGAGAAACTGCAACAAAGGCTCTTGCTTGTGTTTTGCCCTCCTTGCAACTCCCGACCCCTGAAGGATCCTGGTGATTCTCCCAGTGGACATATATGATGTGCCCCCTCCTCCTGCAAGCTGTGAGTAATAAACTAGCTTTTCAGTGGCAATCACCTCCTGATCTGTTGGTCTCGTTATACCTCAATAATTATAAAATCTATATTTTTTTCCATTTTTAATGTTTGGGGATACATAGTTGGTGTATATATTTATGGGGTACATAAAGTATTTGGATATAGGCATACAATGCCAAAAAATTATATTTGAGTAAATGGGGTATTAATCACCTCCAGTATTTATCTTTTCTTTGTGTTACGAACAACCCAATTATACTCTTTTAGTTATTTAAAAATACACAATAAATTACTGTTAACTGTAGTCACCCTGTAGTGCTATCAAATACTAGATGCTATTAATTCCATCTAATTATATTTTTGTATTCATTAACCATCCCCTCTTTCCACCCCCTGCCACTACCCTTCCTAGTCTCTGGTAACCATCCTTCTATTGTCTATCTCCATTAGTTCAATTGCAAATAAGTGAGAACATGTGAAGTTTACATTTCTGTGCCTGGCTTATTTCACTTAACATAATGATGCCCAGTTCCATCCATGTTGTTACAAATGACAGGATCTCATTCTTTCTATGGCTGAATAGTACTCCATTGTGTATATGTACCACATTCTCTTTACCCATTCATCTATTGATGGATATTTAGGTTGCTTTCAACTTTTGGGTATTGTGAATGGTGCTGCAATAAACATGGGAGTGCAGATATCTCTTCGATATACTGATTTCCTTTCTTTGGGGGTATATATTTAGTAGTAAGATTACTAGATCATGTGGTAGCTCTATTTTTAGTTTTTTGAGAAACCTCCCAACTGTTTTCAATAGTGGTTGTACTAATTTACACTCTCACCAATAGTGTAGAAGCGTTCCCTTTTCTCCATATCTTTGTCAGTATTTGTTACTGCCTTTCTTTTGGATAAAGCCTTCTTAACTAGGGCGAAAAATCTACATTCTAAAACTTGTATCCTCGACATCTTAGATATCATTGTCATTAGAAAACTATCTTCCCTTCCCTCATCCAATAAAATCGAAAAAAATAGTGAACATTTGTTTTGAAACCATAAAATGATGTAGATGGTCATCTTCTTGAAAGTAGCAGAGTAGAATAAATCCACTTTAACAACAGATAATGCAATAACTCAACTATTTTAGAAAAGATTTGCCTACATATGCTGGAATTGCATATGGATGTTAGATTTTGACTCCTCGGATATCATTAGGTTCTATAAAATTAAATATTTTAAGAGAAAACAAAAGCACTCTAAAGGAACTAATATTATCGGGCATCTCAGGTTACTTATTTATTTTATTCTTTTAGTTAATAATATTTTATCATTTTATTTTCAATGTAAATTTAACCATGCAATATGTAATATTGTACAAGGAGCAGAAACTTGCTTTCCAAATGTATACAGAATATTTATTCATTTTCTTTAGAAATCATTGTTTAGGTGTTTTTAAATTACCACACATAAAATGTTTGCCTTCTCGGAAAACTTAATTAAAAACCAAAATCAACAATATTGTCTATAAGGTGAGATAAAATTTTTAAAAGTTCTGATGAAGACAGAGATTGAAGCATTTTCTAATGCTAATTCAATATCAATTTCAATCTGATGTGTAAGTAGCAGTGCTGTAACCTGATTGCATTACACACTGATATGGTTGTATTAATTTCTATTGATTCACAAAAGCTAACTAAAGTCCTCTACTTCCTGCTTTGATACATTGCCTACATTATTTACAAGTTATCTTTTTAGGTTTTATAAGAAAATTATTCTGTAGATCATTGGGACAAATTGAAATTTGTAGAAAATTAAACAATATTTGAGGACATTCTACAAGTTTCATCAAAATATTTGTGTCAGTTGGAATTTATCAAGGGAATTAAAGGCTGAAGAATTAAAAGAGTAATATGGCAAAGCTATAGTTGGTTACTAACTGAAAACTTTTTTTTCTCTCCCTCTCTATAGACATATTAGACTTGAGAATCCAAAAAGCTCTGTTTAATGATCCTGTATTGGCTGACATCCAAAGAAAAATTGCTTCACTTCTAAATATCCATGACATAACTGTCTGTCTAATAGGAAGACCTGAAAAGTACCATTTGTTGTTGCATCCGGCAGGTCTGTGTTCTGTGCCTCCCAGACTGAAATTTGTAATTCATATTTCCTTTGGCTGGAACTTTGGAATGAATGCCCAAAAGGTGTATTACTTGTACAAGAGGTTCTTGCAAATAGGCTGTCGGTTCTCCTTTGAGCCTAACCTCTCTTTCTGTCTTGGGCCAGACTGTTTGTTAGAGAGGACCCTGTCACTTGTCCTGGTAGTTAAAATGTAGAAACAATCTCTCCTTGGACTGATTCTTCCCATTTTGAAAAATTGCCACAGCAAATTCCCCAGCCTGCCAAGTTGGCAGATTCTAAGCCAAAAGCTGGAGCCCAGCCAGGCATCAATGGCGCATTCCAAACCTCTGAGTCAGCATCCAACTCCATGCCATTCTCTGTCTTCTGTGCAGGAAAGCATCCCATGCCACAGAATCATTGTTAGCCAAATACTAAACTTGCTTTTCAAGCTAAACCAACTTATACTGTGGTTTCATAACCTAGAGTGGATAATACGGGAAATCTGCAAATTCTGAAAAGTTCTGATATTGGAGAATATTTCTTTTGAAATTTGGTAGATTGAGCCTCCCTGTTTTTCAGAAAGTAACAGAGAAGTCTGAATAATTTTTTGGCTTGAGTTGTAAAACACAGGTCCTGACCCCTTGTCGTCATTAAAGATCCCATGGGCTCTTTTGAAAGGACTAAGGGGGATTAACCTTTCTGTTCTGGCTAAATTCCTAATTGGATAATTGCATTCTGCCTCCCTAAATTATCCCTGTAGCTCCAATTGGATATGGAATTTTCACTTCCTGTCATAAAGGGTTGTAGGGTGTTACAACATTTCACCCCAGGGGTGATGCCAATTAAGTCGTTAGTGAGGTGAAATCTGTATGTGGGTTGTCTTTCTTTTTGCAGCCCCCTACCCCACCTCCTTATTTGGAGTTTAAAATGTGTGGGAATCATTCAATCATTGGTAATGAAAAGGGATGTCATAAGTTAGTAACACTGCTTATTGTGGCATTACTTCTAAGAATATAACAAAAGCTGTCAATAATTGATAAGCATTTGCAGAGAGCATTATCATTCTAAAGAGAACAAAAGCACTTTGCTTGAAATGCTGCTGTCCAAACCAGGACGATGATGATCTGAGGAAGGCAATGAAAAGTATTTTTTAAAGCATGTTGACAGATTGTGTTTTTACTGGGGAAGTTGAGTGCAGCTCTGTGAGCTGGCTTGTTTCAAAGCCTTTGTGGGTTGCCGGCTCAGTATTCATAGAAACACTTAGGCCCAGGGCCAGGGCCAAGGGGAGTCGATGTCTCTCCTGAATATGGATGCAGGCATTAACCGTGGGCAGATTACACACGCACTTGATTTGGAAAGTAAAGGTCACACATCAGTCTCTTCAGCTGTATTTATCCACATTGGAAATCGCTGCTCACAGGATCACCTTTGAACCTAAAAAGGCAACACCACCAGCAGCAGCCTTATGTTTACCCTCAGTTGAGGAAAAAGTTAATAATCAGCTTATTTGTGTTCTTAATTTTTTGAAAAATATCTTTTTGAGTCAGTCAAGAAATTGTTCTTGGATCATATTATTTTTATTGTTTCTACAGGTTGTTTCATCAATAGACACTTTAATGGCAATGTAATTGCTTTTATAATTTTAAGGCAATTATGGATTAATTCTCCAGAAACAGGAATGTAAAGATACTCATGACAGCTCTGTGGTAATATCCTCCATCCTCCCATCATCTAACCTAGTTACACTGTGGACCAAATAAAATTTGGGATCCTGCCCATGAGAGTAGGAAACAAATGGGGTAAATAGAAATCCCACCATCAAACTGAAATAGACTGTGGAAAAAAACTTGGATTTGGCTGATATGATGAGAATAGAGAGTTCTCTCTGCATATTTTCTCACCTATATTACAAATCCATCCACATTTATTTTATGGAATCATAATAAGAAATAAATAACCAATGGCAGTAAACAAAGAGTTGAAATAAGCCATCTCAATATTTGAAAAGCAAATTTCAGAGACGATGCTTCTGTATCATTACATCCCATTTTGTTTTGCTTTCTTGGTATAAAATAAATAGAACAATTGACTTTTAAAATATTAAATACAATTTGATTTGATTATATTTGTTGTTAGATTAACTACAGTCTTATCTCACTGCAACAATAGATGCCTTCTGATAGAAGCACCTTTAACACTCTCCTGTTCTTCTCAACATCTCTGTGTAACTTGATTTTCTCTCTCCTCTCATTTCTTATCCCAGAGAGAAATTTCTTCTGGAGAGGCCAAATCCATGCTACTGGCTGCTGCATGTCTGAGTCTTGTGTAAGAATACTCCAGAGGTAGCTACGGAAGCTAACACTTCAGTCCTGAAGACTCTGGATAATGTTTTCATAAGTTCTTATCAGAGAAGACATTTCCTGCTCTCTATTAGTACATATCATTTTTCTCACCTAATT
Organism: Homo sapiens; assembly: GCF_000001405.40. Taxonomy (NCBI): domain Eukaryota; kingdom Metazoa; phylum Chordata; class Mammalia; order Primates; family Hominidae; genus Homo; species Homo sapiens. The sequence continues at coordinate 103,787,413 of NC_000002.12, read as the reverse complement.
TAGGACTTTGCATTTTTAACATTTAAAAATTAATCATGCTGGATCTTTAAACAATTTTTTAAGTCTGTCTTTCTACATAGTGGTTGGCCCTTTCTATCATTCCCAAATTTTATTAGATAAGCATGCATTTTCATCTCTAGAGAAATCATTGATAAAACATATTCAGCAGCACAGAGTCAAGTGGTAAGGCCTCCTTAGTTCCTAATTGAAATATAATTTTTATCTTAGTTTTGGTACAGGTATTTAATTAGTTAGAGAGTTATAAAACTAGACTTGCCTCTAACCCAAATTTTGTCCTTTTACCCTCCTGGATATAGTGCAAGATCATGTCACATATCTAGCTGAGATTTGGACAGTGTTTCTAAGGGAGTCCTCAAATTTATAAATAAATTTAGGTGGCTGAGATTTATGTATGCAGTGACAATTAGATCTGCTCATTCTGAGGCAAACATTGAATTTTCTCATTCATCTTTGACCATTCAGCTAAAGATTCCTTGCACCGAGAATTTAGAGAAATCAGTTCAGGATCTCAGTCCCTACCAGAGATCCATCTAATAAAGAGTAGATAATATTCCCAGAAAGAAGAATTTCAAATTTGCAGCACTTCTTTACTTCCCTGCTTTTCCAACCTTAAGATAAGTATAAAGTAGAAATTTTACTCACATTTTATGTATACACTTATTCAGTAGTCACCTAGTTAAAGGGCACGAAGGGAAACGTTAAAAAATTAAAAAGCACATTTACAATAGTATTATTATTTCAGAAGAGGAAATATCAAGACCCCTTTGTGGCTACGTTGTTTAGTTAATCTTAATATCTATCTCTTAAATCTTACTGATACTATAACCTTCCTTTACCATGGAAAAATATTCTACTTTGATATCAAGAATAAATGGCATGGTTATACACATTCACACACAACAAACATACACATACATAAAGTATTTCTATATTTACTAGTGATAAAGTAAGTTATGAATTAATTTTCTAAACAAAAAGTTGCTTATTCTTTTATTTCATCATCATTATCTTAGAAAATAAGTACTGTAGAACAGTTTAAAGACAATAAAGAGAACAAAATGGAATTTACCATTTGCTTGCCATTCCACCCCTAATTGGTTGTGGTTTCAAGATTTGCTAATTAAAAAGTGAGCTGGTAGAATTGACTGACAGGTATAGCTGTGAAAATACTTTGTCAACCACTAGGTAATGATCTGTTAGTCAGTAAAACAGTTGTGTTAAGTACTAAGTGTTTAATCTTAAGTACTTCTTCCAAATTGCTCCCCTGAGTGTCCCAATTTACTGCTAGACCATTGAATTCCTTATGAATTGGTTCAAGTATCCAGTGTTGTATCTTTCCCTCCACACACACACACACACACACACACACACACACTCATACACACAGGCACACACAGATACATGCTATTTGGGGCATGCAGATGTGTGACAAGAATATTATTACATATTATTACATTAGTATTACCAACTTGCAGCACTGAACAAAATATGTTAGCACCAAGTTGTGATCATTTTATTGGTAAAACACTTTAATATGTATAAACATATTCAAATAATAATGCACTACTAGGATAAAATATGCCTTTGATAGGATCACAGATTGAGAACAATTAAAGTATGTACAGAAGATTGGTCATAGCCCTTTCACTCAGCCATTCTCTACTCTATCCTTGGTAAATAAACGAAAGCCAGAACTAGGACATCAAGGCATTTGACCTTGATTAGCCTGATCTGGGACCAGAGAGCAAGGTGATAACAAAGGAAATGAGCAAGGCAGACCACCTGCTGCATTGACTGCCTGGGCTGAAAAGAATGCCTAAAAGCATTCCTGTGACACAATGAATTAATATAGTTTTCTGCTAATGCCTGCATAACTTTATTGATACCAGATTAACATACTGTATTTAATTTTAGGGCAGTTCATCTTAGCAGAGAAGGAATGAGAATAGTAAAAGTAGCAAAAAAGTGCCTAACTGATGACATTATTTTACCCACCCAAGGTAGTATCTTTTCTTAGAATTTACTAGAAAAATAATTGTTGATTCTATATTTAACAAATATAAATATTTTATTTCTTAAAAGCAGACAAAATTTAGACTGAAAAAACATAATACTATTAAACTACTGGATCATTTCATGAAAAGGTAAGGATTACAAGTAAGCCTCTAAAATCACTGAAAAGGTGAATGAAAACACAACTAAGATAAAAACCTATTTCTTTCAGTTCACATTAAGTAATTAACAGGATTTAAAATATGCATATGCATTTACCTGTTATGGGATACTACAGCAGAATGTGTGTTAACAAATGGGGTCTTTCTCTCTACATACCATCCTTTTGCTGTTTGCTTTCCTGCCTTGTATCTACCACAGGTGAGTAGGTGTAAGCATGTTTAGATTCAGAGATGCAAATTTTTTAAAAAAATACTTTTTTTGTGAGTTCTGTGTTGTTCTTTTATAAATCTTACTTGATAAAATCACTAACGTAAAAGAAAATAGACTGTCTTTTGTTGTGAACATTCTAAAGGATTTTTAAGAAAATCCTTTAAACAAGCTAATCTAAAAGCATGCAGTCTTTGCCTACAAGGAGGTAAAAGAAAACAAAATGTGAATGCAAAATAGACTTTTTTTTCTTTGGTAAGGCAAAGAAGAAAGATGGTGCAGAAATGATGTAGAGATATTTATTGTGTTTTCTATATTGAATAGATGAAATAGTTATGGAAGAGTAGGGATACAGAAAGATAAATTGGAAGAGGAAAAGAAAACAGAGAAGTATAGAAGCAGGTACTGCTGAGAAATGGAAGAATAGAAAGGAAGAAATGCACTGGCAAGAATTAATAAATGAGTGAGAAGGCTAATATGATAGACACATTTGCAAGTCTCCACCCACCCCGCCTCCCACCTCCTAGTCAGGCCCAAGAGTGCCTGAATTGGCAGTCAATGTGCTAATTAGTTCCTGGCTCTGGGTTCCCTCCCCTTCATAACTCTCTTGCAAAAAGCTTCAGGGAGTCCCTAACATCCATGCTTCTTTACTAAATCCCTTCTATTTATAAGGTGCAAAGGTAACAAAGTGCCAGAACCAACATTCTTTTCTAGTTAGCACAAACATCAATTCAGCCCGAATGAGTAGTTACTTATAAGATGTTTATTGACTGCATAAATAATTTAAGGATGCCCATAGAAAACAGGGAAATAGCGTCTGTCTGGCCACAGAGAGATACACATCTTCAAGAAAAGCAAGCCGTAAGCAAAGTGCATTTTGCTGAACAAAAATATGAATGGTTCCCGAAGCTTCAGGCTAATTCCAATATGGTAAGTGCCTTCAGTTCACCAGCGAAAGTAGCCAGCCTCAGCTGCAAGCACGATAACAGCAAAGAACACATTGTTGTCTTTAGAAATAAAAGAACAAAAGATTAAAGCTGGTTGTATTTGAGCGATGGGACCCTGACTGACCTTTAACACTTTTTCTAATTTACTCAGTTTCTAAATTTTCTATTGTGACTCTATATATGGTGTGTATATTTTCTGAATTAGTGTTTGGGGGTTGGGGGGATGTCAGTTACCTGAAAAAAGATGGGTTTTATTTATTCTCCTTAGATGAATTATTTTGTCTCTCCCCCAGCCCAAAACAGCATTTCTTACCCCCAGAATGTGGCTCTGAGTCATCTGTGTTTTAAAAAACACAAAGTGCTGTTTTCCATATCCAGGGTTTCTGATTCAGCAGCTCTGCGATGGGACCCGATAATTTGTCATTCTACAAAGGTATCCAGTGCTTCTGCTGCCGCTCTGAGGACCATACTTTGAGAAGCACTCGCCTAACAGGGAACATTGCTGAGATGCTGCCAGATTCCCAAAGTACTGCAGATTATCATTCAAGCTCAACATGGCTACAGGTCTCGAGACTTACTGACAAGGATGGAGACTGGTTGGCGTATCCATTATCAAAGGAGGGTAAATGAAACATGGGACCTTGGATAGGAGAAAGTGTCATCAGATTCTACATAGATAGGATAGAGATGACAGTCATTTAGATAGGGACTCCCTCTGCCTTCAGGATTCTAGGAAACAAAAAAGTAAAGATCCTTTGAAAATTAGGTTTTGGTTGTTTTGCTAGGTGAAGAGAAATCAATGCTGGTAGCCAAAGAGACTCAGAACAGGCCTTCCACATACTCTTGCCACCCACTCATCCAAACACAGGTTGTTTCCTTTGCACATGCCTCAGAGCCGCACCTCTCACCTACTCGAGGCTTTGGGCTGCAGTCAATTCCTACCTCTCCTCTAACATAGAATGTCCCCTATTTACTAGGTCTTTCCAAACCGGACACCAGTATGCCATCATATATCCCATCTGCTACAAACAAGCAAACACAAGGGACACCTTTCTTAACCTCATATCTCCCTGTATCCCCCCACTTCCATTTTTTTTTCTCCTCTTTACAGAAACATACTCTTAAATGTGCCAGAGGTGGCTCTTCTCTCTTACTTCATGAGACATGCAAGGTCTGCCTTGAGCTTATGCCCCAAAGTCCTGTGAGAATGTTGATAAGACAGGCTAACGTGCATACGTTCTTTCCCTCCTTGCAAAAACCCACTGAGACATTGTTATTGTACCCATTTTATCAATGCATAAACTGAGTTCTAGGAGGGTTCTATTTTTCAAGGTCACAGGGCTAGTCAGTAGCCAAGCTCAGCCTGGGTATTGCCTGTGGAATGGGGATCTTCAGCAAAGTCCTTTCCTGCCTATCCCCATTCTGGTCCATTCATTCTTATGCACCCTTGGTTTTTCAGCTTATAACTCATTTCATCAATGAAGTTTTCCCTAAGAAAGGAGCTCTTTTGACTCCCTCTGCCTGGAGCCCATTTCCACACGTGGGACTGCCTCCCCCAGTTCAAGTTTTTCCTCTGCTATCTCTCTGCCCACCCTCTGTGCTATGGTTGCTTTACTGTGCTCCAGCCTCCTTGCCACATTTGGAGTGCTTCCATCTCAGGGTCGTTATGCTCCTTGTTCTATAGACACCCACCTAGCTTTCTCCTTGACCTCATGTGGCTTGTATTCCATGGGTCATCTTATCAGAGAGAACTTCTCTGACCAATGTAACTAAAGTGCAACCCGCATCCCTGTCAAACTCTCTGTTTTTCTTGCCTTCATAGCACATATTGTCACTTCATGTAGTTAATGTTTATTTGCTTATTTTTTATTTCTTTTTATATCCTCAACATAGAAGGTGTTCCAAAATATGCATGGAGTGAATGTTTGAACCCCAGTAAAGGGGAATGCCATGCATTAGGAATCTAAATTGGGCCTACTGTAAACACGAGCAGAAAAACATTGCCCTACCTAGGTAAATTTCAGTGATTCTGAGAATAATGAACCTCATTTAAACATTGATAAGGTAATTGTTTATAATTGTTTTTTCACTTGTTTTAGATAAGCTGATATTTGTGGAGACTAGGAATCTATGCTTACATGCATCCAATGTATCCACATATTTACTTACATATAATATGTCTTTCTTTTAACATTGCCTACTTCTTCAATTTATTTTGTATCATCATAACCAAGAAAATGTCCGAAATTAAAAATGTGTCCATATTCTGAAACTCAATTTTTTTTCCTTATTGTAAGTTTCTATGTCTTCCTAAACACACACACACACACACACACACACGCACACACTATGCTCTTATCTAATACGGACTAAATCCTGTCTTTCCTAGTAAACCCCTGAATCAGATTCCTACTCTCTACTGGCTCCATTCACAATAAGGCCCAGCCAGATGTCAATTACAATGTTATCATTCTTAATTGGCTGAGAGACTTGGAGCAAGGAGACAAGCTGTGAACAAGGAGACAATGCAGTGGATCCACAAGGCCAGAGACACAGTTAAATCAAGAGCCAAAGCCAGAGAAAGGACAGAAGCAAAGAAAAACCCCATCAATCAAAGCAGGAGTGAGACCCTGGGGTATGCTGGGAGAAGGCGAGGTGTAAATATTGAGTTGCACTGGCCCATGATGGATATTGTTAAAGCTGTACTTCTGTGCTGGAGGCCCTTCTTCCTAAAGCCAAGCTCCAAGTCCCTAAGGGTCAGGTCCTGCCTGACATTTTGCAGTTATCTATTTACTTCTTTCTCTCCCTTACTGATTGGAGAGCTACCCAAGGGCACTGTATAATTCATCAACCTATGATTTGTGTAATATAATGCCTGTCATTCAGTAGACATTCACATATACATACACAGACAAATACAATTACTTATATATATATTAATTTATGAATACATGAATGATTTTCTCATATTATGAAGGATCTCTTAGTCTTTAAATCATATTTAAAATTGATTCTTGAAGTATTAGATTTGAGAAAGCAGATGATTTTGGTTGCATAATTTTATAAAATAAGTAAAAATAGGCATATAAATATTTTTATATTGGACATGACTTCTACCTAATTCAAGCATGTATATGTGATACTGAAGTGTCATACCTCAAGGACTGACTGGCTGCACATGTTTACACAATGCCAATTACTGAAAATAGATCCACCCTTTGCTGTCTATTTTGCCTTGAGTGTTTTGCTAAAGCAGTAATGAGTAAAGTGATTAAGGAGCATTGTGCTGGTCCCAAAGATGCATCTGGATTTATAGGCTTCTATTTAGCAGCTATGGGCTAATATTGGGGGTTGTTCAATTTACCTCTAGAAGGAAAATAAGGTGGCATTGAGACCATGTCCCCATGACATAGTTTCAGAAATGGAGCAGGTGACTTACATGTGACCATCATTAAAATGAATAGCAGATTTAAGTACTGGAACAGATTCAGCTTTGCAGCATGGTGTTTGCCTGGTTTGATCAGTAGACTAAAGTGGGCTTGTTGGCGAAAGCTTGTGATGAGGTCACAGTGCTCCTCATTATCTCATCCAATTTTGTAAATGAAGACTGTAGTGTCTGCCGGTTTCTTAGTAATGCCATCATCATTATTACCTATTGAATAGTATTGAAAAAAATGTAGTTGTGCCTCACTCTAATTATTATGATCTCTCTGGCTTTGTTTCTAAATGTATGACTATACAACTGGCAGATGGTCACAGACAGTGAGGCATGGTGGTTGAGGTCATGAAGTAGATTCAAATCCTAATTCTGTCACTTACTGGCTAGATGAGGTGGGCAGTGCTACCTCTCACTCAGCCTGAGCAATTCCAACTCTAAAACGTACCGTTGAATTCCTCCTTAATGCTTTAAGTTGAGCACAAGTATGTGTCCTCTGCAGAGCTTTTCCTGACCACACAGGAACATAGGTGTGCACTCTCTTCACATAATACTTTTTCACTGTTATTAAAACACATGTATATTATTATGTAATTGATGTTTTTGCATGTCTATATTTCTTCTAGATTGTAAGTTCATTATAAACTTTAACCCTGCAATAGTCCATGCTAATCAAATGAATGGGTGAATGATTCACTGTCTGTTTTAAGGAGAAGCAAGAAATCAAGTATGAGGAGAAAGTCTGGAGACAGACTGTGGAGCCAGGTTAGGACAGGTTAGTTGTAATGTATTTGAAATTGTTTTGTTCCATAAATAAAAAAACATTTGTGTTTAATATTACTGACCATGTTACATTCTCTGTAACTCCTAAGTTAATGAAAAAATGCAAGAACAGAAGAAAAATAAAGACATACGAATAGCACAATATATTTCCTTCATATGACTGGATGTTTGGGTCCTGTGTTTTAAGTTTTTCTCAGGTTAGTTTAGAAAGCACTTTTAAAGATTATTAATTTAAAACTAAGAAATCCAATAATAAAATGGTGGGAAAGCATAGAAAAGTGTGAGAATTAAAAGGAAATCATTGTTCCACTTGATTCTCTCTTCCCAGAAACAACTATTTTAACATTTCACATTTTTAAGTACTCTTTTATTTTTACTTTGTATGATAATTATTGTTATTTTCTATTTGTTAATTGACAAAACTTACATATATTGATGTTGAACATGATATTTTGATATATGTATACATTATGAAATGGCTAAATTAAGCTAATCAACAAATGTATTACATCTCATCTTTTTTTTTTTTGTGGTGAGGACACACAATTCTACTCTCTTTTGTTAACTATAACCAATTCTGTGCTGCTGAAATCAGAACTTCCCACATGTAAAGATTATATGGATTATCTGTTCATTTATTTTTTGGGATCTATTTTTCCTTAAAATCTTTGAAAATGTAATCATTTTCTAGAAAAAAATATTATCCTTTCTTGGCTTTTGTTTTCAGTTTTACTGGTACATATCTCAGTAATTATTTCACAAAGTTTCTGTGGTTTTTAAATTTGGTGCACCCTAAGTTCCTACAAATTCATCTATTTTTTCCTCATGTATAATTGAGACTTTGGCTGGGTATAGAATTCAAAAATTAAAATTATTGAAGCATTACTCTATCGTCTTCATTGTAGATCATCATATGCTTAGTATCAGTTTCATTTTCATTCTCTTCTTAGATAATATTGCTGTAGTTGTTTCTATTCAGGAGAATTTTTACTCTATTCTTGAGTGCAGATATGCCAGCAGCCAATGATTGTGTGTTCATCTTTTTATGCGTTTGTTCCTGTTGTCACTTTTATTCTAAAATTGGTGTCTTTCTTTTACTTATGCCTATTTCCTCATATCCATTGATTCATTTTTCTCTTTTTAGATTTCCTAATAAATGCACAATAAATATTTCAGATCTCAGCTACTTTGTGGCTTTTCTGCTATAGCAACATTTGCTAAGTTTTATTTGGCAACCACAATTTTAATAAGCTTTTAAATTTTGGAATAATTTTAGATTTAAAGAAAAGTTGAAAGTAGTAAGGAAAGTTACTGTGTACTTCTCACCCAATTTTCCCTCATTATTGACAACTACATTACCATGTGCATTTGTCAAAACCAAGAAACTCATTATTGGTACATTAATATTAAGTAAATTCTGAATTTTACTTATATTACACCAATTTTAAAATTGATGTCATCTTTCTGTTTTAGAATCGAATCCAGCACACAATATTGCATTTCAGTGTTATGCTTCCCAAGTCCCCTCTAGTTTGTGACAGTTTTTTTCAGTCTTTATTTTTCCACAACAGCAAAATAATATTGAAGAGTACTGGCCAGGTATCTTGCAGACAGTCCTACAATCTAGGATTGTCTTGTGTTTTTCTTTTGACTAGATTGAGGTTATAAATTTTGGGGAAGAATTCCACACAGGTGAAGTAGCTTTTTTATCACATTATATCCATGTGATATCACTAATGTCACTTAAACAGTTGACTGAGGTAACTGTTTGCTAAGTTTCTCTAAAGATACTGCTTTCTTATTCTAACCTAGTCTTTGAATAGAATCTGTAAGTATAGCTCCTGAACAAAGAGAAAGTGTGTAGAAATAAAGCTCTACTTTCTGGAGAGGAAAGTATACAGGTAAATTATTTGCAATTCTTCTGTAAGAAAAATGCCTTTGTCTGTTCGGGCTGCTTTAACAAAAATACCATAAACTTGATGGCTTAAACAACCAAGATTTATTTCTCATAGTTCTGGAGGCTGGAAAGTTTGAAATCAAGGCACTGGAAGATCTGCTGTCTCATGAGGGCCCACTTAGCTTCCTCGTTCATAAACAGGCATCTTCTTGTTGTGATCTCACATGTTGGAAAAAGAGTCAAAGAGCTCTCTGGGTTCCCTTGACAATGGCACTAATCTTATTCATGAAGCTCCACCCTCATGACCTAATCACCTCCCAAATACCCCACCTCCCAATACCACCACTTTGGGGGCTAGAGCTTTGAAATATGAATTTTGGGGGGACATACATATTTAATCCATAACATTTCATTTCTAGTTATTCACAATTTATATCCTTGTCACACCCAAAATACACTAGTCTCACCCTAGCAGTCCCCAAAATCTTCAGTTGTTCTAGCATCAACTGTGAAGTCTAAGTTCAAAGTCTCATCTATGTATCACCTAAAGCATACATGGATGAGATGTAGAGTATGATTCATTCTGAAGCAAATTCTTCTCTAACTATGAACCTGTGAAACCAAACATGTTATAAGCTTTCAAAACACAATGGTGGAACAGGCATAGGGTAGATATTCCCATTCCAAAAGGGAAAAATAGGAAATAGTAAAAGAGTAATGGCTTCCAAGTAAGTTCAAAACCTAACAGGGCAAACTACATTAAACCTTAAGGCTCAAGAATTATTCCTTTTGGCTGGATGCTCTTTCTTCCATGTCCATTGGATGGCAACATCACACCCATGGCTTGATAAGAAAGCCCTACAGTGGTTCTCTAATGGGGCCCCAACCAGTAATGTTCTCTGCTAGGTCCCTGCAGTTCTGCTAGGCTCAAACTCTGCACCCAAGTCTCTCCTGAATGGGTTTCCAGCCCTGAGACTGAGCAGCACTGTTCTTTGTAACCTAGGTGATGGCATCTATGCTCTCTGGGCCTGTGCTTTCTGGGCTTGTGATAGGAGGGAATGCCCTGCCAATCACTGAATTATCTTTGGGGTCATGCTTACATTGTCTTGAAAAATAACATCTGGCTTCTGTTGAGATGGAAAATCCATACTAATCTTATTAAACGATTGGTTAGCCACAACCTTACTGTTCTAATTTTTTGCCATATAGATAGGCTGGGAATTTTCCAAATCATTAAGTTCTGCTTCCTGTTTGCTAAAGAATTTCAGCTTTAAGTCATTTCTTCATGCGTTTTACTGTAAGCACTCAGGAGAAGCCAAGCCATATCTTCAACACTTCACTTAGACATCCCTTTAGCTAAACATTGAATTTGGTAGCTGACAAATTCTAGCTTCTACAAAACACTAAAACAGGAACACAATTCAGTCAAGTTCTTTGTCAATTTATATCAAGAATTGGCTTTCCTCTGGTTTTCAATAGCATATTCTTCATTTCCTTTGGAGAACTCATCACAGTGGACTTTGCTGTCCATGTTTTCACCAAATCCTCTTTACTATTACTTAGGTATTTCCCAAGAAGATTAAGGCTTACATTCTAACTCTTCTTTTCTTTCTGATCCCTCATCAGAATTAATGTTAATGTCCACATTTCTAGCATGCACCTCAACAATCTCCCAGCCTCTACTTAGCTCCAAAGCCACTTTCACATTTTTACATAGTATTTGTTACAGCAGCAGCCCCTCTTCTCAGTACCAACTTTTGTTTTAATCCATTCAGGCTGCTACAACAAAAATATCATAAACTAGGTGGCTTAGCAACAAACATTTATTTCTCACAGCTCAGGAGCCTGGGAAGTCCACAGTCATGGTGCTGACAGATTGGGTGTTGGGTGAGAATCTGCTTCCTGGTTCGTCTTGCTGTACTCTCACATGACAGAAAAAGTGACATAGCTCTCCAGGATCCTTGTATAACGGCATTGATCCTATCATCAGGGGCTCTACTCTCATGACCTAATAATCTCCCAAAAGCTCCACCTCCTAATACCATCACATTGGCGGTTAGGATCTCCACATATGAATTTTTGTGGGACTGAAATATTCACTTTTTAACAGAAGATTTTGATGATACTTTTTAACTGCAAAAAATATTTATGTTTTATAATTTTTTGTTTCCAAAAACTGTATCTTCTTGCATAATAATCTTGAATTTCTGAGAATATTTATTTTACCTTTATCTTGTTCTTTCCTGATCCCTTAATTATTTTTATTTACTCTGCATTTTTCTCTTTTTCCTCATGACCCAGAATTAGGTTGATTATTTTAGTTACCGAGCTGGGTTTTCTTTGCAGTTGTGTAGGTATGTTTCCCTCAGAAGGCTTTCTTAAAATGCAAGATGAGGTGTGGGTTCTGTTTAGGGTAGTGGATCTTGGCAGGGGGATAGTGGTAGCCAGCTAGGAACTCCCAAGTTGCCAAATTAAGAAATGCGTTTGCAGATGTATTTCATCTACTAAATTTCACTCCTGCATGGAGCTATGCCTTTACCCTTGCATTATTTTTCTTTCCTCCACCCCATTCCATGCATACATATGGGGAAATGCTGAGTTCCCCTCCCTCCCTTACTTTATTTGTTTATTTTTTTGAGTCTCTCATATCAGTAGACTTCTCATTGATCCCTTACTTGTGTTTCAATGTACCTCTCTGGGTTTTGCCCTGTGTATAAAAGTCATAGCTGACAAGCATAGAAAGAGAGGGGCCCAATAACTGTGCTGATGACTTTCCTTTTTTAATTTTTGGCTGTGTGATTGATTCTTCTCTGGGCCTCTGAATTAGTCTGTTTTCATGCTGCTGATAAAGGCATACCTGAAACTGGGAAGAACAAGAGGTTCCAGATGGCTGGGGAGGCCTCACAATCATGGAGGAAGGTAAGGAGGAGCAAGTCACGTCTTACATGGATGGTGTCAGGCACAGAGATTGAGAAAGAAAGAGACCTTGTGCAGGGGAATTCCTCTTTTTGAAACCATTAGATCTTGTGAGACTAATTCTCTATCATGAGAACAGCACAAGAAAGACCCACCCCCATGATTCCATTACCTCCCACTGGGTCCCTCACGGGGGAATTGTGGGAGTTACAATTCAAGATGAGATTTGGGTGGGGACACAGTCAAACCATATCAACATCCACTGAGAAACAATAGTCCTACCATTAGAGCTTTGAACAATAGATTTCACAGCAGTGTGCTTTTGACAAATCTGAATATATTTGCTTTTTTAGAAATTCTTTAGACTTTCCATTTTGCTAAAAGATTTCTTTTTTGAGTAGTTCTATGTTATAGCATATAGCAGAATATTATAGTATAGGTATTTATGGCAGTGTATATGTGTCCTTGGTGCATGTGCATATGTATAGTATAGATATAGCTATACAGACACAGGCAGACACATGTCTACACACACACACACACACACATTTATGTGTGTATGCGATTTTCTATCCTTTTCATAGATTTTGGAAAGAAGGGTGTAGATGTGGATGCATTTCACCATCTTGAACTATAAATCTGCAGAAGCTTTAAAATCAGAGCCATTGAAGAAAATACAAATTCCATTTGAAAAATTAATTCCACAAAATTTAACTGTAAAGGAATTTGATGCCTTAGATCTCTAAGTAGTTTCAGTGATAAAAAGCATTTCATGCAGTAGTTTTCACTCAGAAGTGAGTGTTCCATTTGCACAAATTTGTTCACAGATGTTTAAGAACAACCCTTTCCAAGTACAAAGTAGATTTGTCCTAATATGCACTCTTTCCAAATCAATGCCTTCATCATTCCACATCCTCTTCCAAAGCCTGAGTCAAAGGAACTTTAGACTCATCAGAAAACTGATGAGTCATACATTGTAATGCAGGTGGTAGTTCACGAAGTTAAGGTCGTATGTTGCGGGTTTCAAGTGACAGTAAGGCAATAGGAAAGCTGCACAAAAAGGAATAAAAAGCTACCTTTATTAAAGTACAAAGGAAGAGTTGTTTGGTGAAGAAGTTGTTATGTCAGAGTTACCACGCTTATTACTTTTAGATGGACTAATTTTATTTTAGGAATTAAACCTAATAATTGTGCTTTGGCTTATTTGAATTCACCTTATTTGTAATGATTTTCCAGGCACTTGAGACTGTAGATTTCATTAAGTTCAATGAGAGCATTTGTTTCAGCTTAATAATACACATGATTCCCCAAACAGTAAGTTGCTTATATTTAAATATGATCATGTGAGGAAACCCATAATTGTTATTGCCTATAAAGGCATGTGAAAATGGTAAAACAGGAGTAATACTTATTGATCCCTTATAAGTAAAATCATAATACATTAAGAGGCTCGAATATCTAATACAAAACTTGTAGATTACATTCCTACTTCATTGTGTGTATTTTACCTCTTTTCTTTCTAGGAAACATCTAGAAAAAGATGTTGCAGCTCTCAAAACACAAAGTATTAGAATATCTTGAAGATAATACTTAAAAGAGTGAGATTTCCAGAATTGCTATTTCAAACATGTGTTTAAGACTATTGATAATTTTATTATTCTTTTTGATGGAAATTAGTTTTTAAGGAACTAGTTGGCTAATTTTAAGGCTATTAGAGGACTGACAACAATAAAATCAAAGAATAAAGTCCACTATGATGAGCATTGGAAGACTTCCATAATTCTTTAATTTCTAGTAGAATTCTTGCTGTTTTCTTTGATGAGACTGCTTTGCAGCTCTCAATACTTTGGACATTTTCTAATCCATCAATAGAATATGATGAGCATTGATTTACAGTATATGGCATTAACCATGACAAAAAATTTAATCTGTTTTTCTAGATAGAATTCTCTGTTTTGTGTTTTTGAACAGTGAATTATTCCTGCTCTTCTGAAACACCAGAGTGTATCTGATTTTTTAATTTTATTTCATGACTGACTGGTCACTGTCAGATGACAAGGGATTGAAAGTTGCTGCCGGAAATTGATAATTCATAATTTAGATGAGAAGTGAAGAGCCAAGATTTGTAAGCCATCCAATGATCTTCCACTGCTCAGACCTTTGCACCTCTACAACAGGGACTGAAGATGAGAGGCAAGGACAAATGTTTCTTTTAAAGGCCTGTGGCACCTCATGGGTAGCATCTATTTCAAATGTTCTCTTGACTTGAGAGAGGGTTCCTTCTAGTGTCAGAAACCTCCTTTCCTCTTTCATAATGTTAAGCCTAAGTTTGGGTCACAAGATTTGATGCTCTTCATGATTTCTGGCTTTGAGGAAAATAATTGCTGAGGTTGTGTCATTTACAATCCAGTTTGCTTTTCTGAAAAAAGGATATTTCATGCAGCATAATGCAAGAACAAGCCATAAGGTAACTATATTTTCAAAGCTCATCTTAGATACAGTTGGTGTAAAAACTTCCAAAGTCATGGTAATGTAGGCGACACCTCTTATGCCCCAGCCCCCACTATTTGGCTTGTGACTTTAGCCCTTGCTATTGTCACCAGTTTCATACATGTGTAACCAGTGTCACTGCACATTTGTCACTCTCTAATTTTTGATTGTCCTGTCCCCAGGCAAACACTCAAGACTGGAGGTCTAAATGAATTATTGTCGCATGGGGCAACCCTTGAGCTGAAAAGTGCGTCCCTCTTCAGCCTCTCTGACCAACAATTCTGTGTTCAGACTATATGTATCAGAGTGTTCCGGTGGAGCTGAGCCCTCATTTCCCAAAGTGGTGAAAATTTTGTTAAACTTTTATGTTAGGTTCAGGAGTATATGTGGAGGTTTGTTACATCTGTGAAATTGTGTCATGGGGGTTTGTTGTACAGATTATTTTATCACCCAGGTATTAAGCCAAGGACCTAATAGTTATCTTTTCTGCTTCTCTCCTTCCTCCTACCCTCCACCTGCAAATAGACCTCAGTGTCTGTTTTTCCCTTCTTTGTGTTCATGAGTTCTCGTCATTTAGCTCCCACTTATAAGCAAGAATATGTGATATTTGGTTTTCTATTCCTGTGTTAGCTTGCTAAGGATAATAGCCTCCAGCTCCATCCATGTTCCTGCAAAAGACATGATCTCATTCTTTTTATGGCTGCATAATAGTCCATGGTGTATATGTACCACATTTTCTTTATCCAATCTGTGTTACTGATTGGTTCATTCCATGTCTTTGCTATTGTGAATAGTGCTGCCATGAACATTCACATGCATGTGTCTTTGTGGCGGAATGATTTATATTCCTCTGGGCATATACCCAGTAATGAGATTCCTAGGTTGAATGGCAGTTCTGCTTTTAGCTCTTTGAGGAATCGTCATACTGCTTCCCACAATGAATATCTTAAAACCATATGTTTCTATTGGCTTTTGTTCCTTCTATGTTTTGCTCTCCCAGGCCCCCCAGTTCTGTTCTCTGGGATCGTTTTCCAAAATAAATTACCTTCATGGAAGGCCTTATCTCAAATGCCACCTGGAGGACTCATTAAGAAAGGCAAAAAATGTGTTTAGCAAATTTAGGAATGCAAACAGTCTAGTTTTCCATAATATAAAAATATGTTCATTGTATCTCATATTATAGTTTCAACTGTAAAATTCATTGATTTGAACAGTTAATCATTATTACTTCATCAGTATCCTTTGGTTCAAGCTATTAAATCTTCAACTTGCCATATTGCACACAATAAAAATTATATTTGATATGAAAAACCTTAAGATTTCAGCATATGCTCTTTAAGGTAGCAGCATAGAGAGGACCTTTGTGGGTGGGCCCCAAGGTAAAGGCAGGATTTTCTCAGCATGCTAAGCAGCTGGTTGATTTTTGTCACCTTCTGCCCTCACTATGCAGATACTTAATGCTGTCCTTGGACCACTCTGCCAGTGACACCTCACCAGAGCCACACCCCACATGGGATGCAATTGTTACTGAAGCACATAAATGGAATTATCCACAAATAGAAGTATCCAGAGAAAACCTACATTTCCATTCCCAAGCAGGGAGCCTGTTAGGGTTCAGAAGTCAACTACATTTTGCACAAAGAGCATAAACAGAGCTCTGAAAAGCTGTCAGTCTGTAGGAGTGAATAGCAAGCAGATATCAAACGTCCCGAGAGAGTGTTACAGGCTTTATCTTCTCCAAATGCAGGTTCTGGCCTCTGCGGAAAAAAAATTTTTTTTTTCCTTTTTTTGAGACAGAGTCTCACTCTGTCACCCAGGCTGGAGAGCAGTGGCGCAATCTCTGCTCATTGCAAGTTCCGCCTCCCGGGTTCACGCCATTCTCCTGCCTCAGCCTCCCTAGTAGCTGGGACTACAGGCGCCTGCCCCCACGGCTGGCTAATTTTTTTTGTATTTTCAGTAGAGACGGGTTTTCACCGTGTTAGCCAGGATGGTCTCGATCTCCTGACCTCGTGATCCGCCTGCCTCGGCCTCCCAAAGTGCTGGGATTACAGGCTTGAGCCACCGTGCCCGGCCTGTGGAAATCTTAACCTAAGATTTTAGCTCATTCCTATCCTTTAGGCATGCCCTTTGGCTTGGCTATCTATAATCTCAAAGCCTTAACTGTCCTCTAACTAACATTATGTCTTAGTCATCATTGAAGGAAGATGTTAATGAATGAGCATATAATCCAAAAAGGAAACCCTAACATGAGTTGTTTTTTTTTTTTTAATTCATCTGGGCTAGTCTGGTAAGAAAAGGAGAATGGATATTTTACAAAAAAAGGTCATATCGTGACCCTCTGTCTAACTGAATATAAGCAACCAGAATCACATGCGTAGCTATTATATTGCAAGGATATTGTAAATTTTAGAAGCATGTTTATAGAAGGCTAATTGAAAATCTAGCTAGCAGTTGAATTTCAGTTGGGGCAGTATTTTGTCGTGTTTTTGTACATGTTATCAGTTTTTCTTGTTTAATATTAACAGCTAATAAATATACCTTGGAGAATTTAAAAAGTTGTACTTATAGTTAACTACTAAGACAAAGTATATAAACCTACAATGTGAGGCTAGGCTTAGGAATAATGATATAATATCAGAGTTATTTGGATAGATTTAAGAATAGTGTTTCTGGAACAAAGGGACACCCTTAGAAACATTGAGATAACATTAGGGCATTGGGATAGCCTTAGACTGCTGGGGCCAGAAGATTAGCCAATTTCTAAACCAACACGTCTAGGAAAATCAGTGATTGTGATGTGGTTTGCCTTTTTCTTGTGGTGAATCTGCGAAAGAAAATTCTTTTCTCTAAATCTAATAGACACAATTCCACAGTGCATCATAGGTCACCACTCATTATATATTTAAATTAAACGGTTCATTTCATTTGCTTCAGCATCCTAGCTGCTTAGTAGTAATGATTTAGCATAACCAGGTGACTTTAATAATGACAAACAGTAAATAATTACAGTTGGCACGTACTGAGCACTTATTATGTATGAGGCTGTGTGCTGACGTTTCCCATGTTACCCAATCTAATTTTCACAACATTGAGAAGTATCACTGGGCCCATTCCAATTATGAGGAAATAAAAAGTTAGAGAAGGATAAGCAACTGATTCCATGTTCCGCAGCTTGAAAAAAAAGGCATTGGGTTGTAACTCTGTCTGACATCCAGGCCAATAGTCACAACACCTGGACCGCTTAACCTTCTAGGCAAGTAAAAGTAAGGGGAGGGTGACTAAATGTGGATCAAAATTATGTAATGAATAAAGCTGGCATGTTTGGGTATCAACTGAGAATAAAATGAAACTACACTCATGTATTGCATTATAGAAAATAAATTCTAGGTAACTAAAGCCTCATGCACAAGAAAATTAAAAAGTGAAACTATTGTGAGAAACCCTAACAGAATAATCAAGGACATAGGTGGGTGAAAAGAAGCCTCTAACTGAATCTGAAAACCCCAAGCTACCCACAGAAACCATTTCTCTGTCAAAATCCAGTTAAAAGAGATAAGTGATAGGTTAAAAAAAAAAAACAGACTAACAAAAGATAAAAGGCTAATGTCTATAATATTTATAATATTCAACCTTTTTAAAATGGCAAAAAACCAAAAATAACCCACAATCCAATAGAAAAATGGACTCTCTCTATCTATATATACACCACACAGAATAATTATATATATATATATATATATGCACAGAAGAATATTCTGTGTTAGGAAGAGAGAGACAGAGTCCATTTAAACAGGAGAATATCAGTAGGCATGGAACTTCAAAGTAATGAAACAGTGAGACATCATTTTACCCCACATCAGAACAACAGCAACAACAAAATCACATACTTGATGCTGTCAGGAGGTTGGGGAGCATAAACATTAATAGTGAAAACAGAGGTTTTAGAATATTTTTGAAAGCAAAAATAAGTGTTGAGAGTCTCTATACTGTAGCAACAAAATTCCTCGAAGTGAAAAACGTACATGCATATGGCCATCTACTGAAGCACTGTTCATGCAACAACTTGTAGTATATCAATAGCATAAAATAAAATGTTACTGAGATTGCAAAAGAAATTAGGCATAAATCAGTTATTTAGTGTGAAAAGCAAAATATAAAATAAAAATATAAAATAAAGTATATATAAAATATTATTTTATAATATTTATGTCTATACATATGCATATATTATAAAACATATAAGCATAAAATATGGGTAAATTCCTATTAGCTTGTGACATGTGCTTCTTGGAGTTGTTTGTAGATATACTGGGGAAAATAGAAGAGACATGTGTGAGGGAGATAGAAGCCAAGCAATAAAAATGAAGAAAAGAAAGAGAAAAAATTGTAGTAGAATAAAAGTATACATGAGAAGTTCATATTTATATAACGATGTAAAATTTAAAACTCCAGGAAATGCCAGTAGTAGCTTTTAAATAGGAAAACTACTTTCTTATAATATAAGTACTTTGTAGAATCTTAAATTTCATTACCTATTTTTTCCTGTGTTTAACAAACGCAAATACAGGCTTTTATATTGCATCTTTTTGTGTTCACTAAAGTTTCCCAATTTTACTAATGGTCATTCAAAATTCCCTGAGCCACAGTTAATTTCTCTCTTTTCCACAATTTCCTTTTCTTCTGTCAGGCTCTCTTATGGCATTTTCTATGATCTGTTTTGTCTTATGTTTTTTCATAATTTCTTATGATTAAGATTCATTTGCATCATAAGACACATCTACCTTACAGAATTTTCAACAGAATTTGGCACTTTGCATAACAAAAATCTACAATAAATTGCTATCCCAGAATTCATTCATGTATTCACCAAATATTTATTCTAAACCTATTATATGCAATCTTTTGGCTAGGCAAATTGAGTATTACACAATGAAACATGGAATTCTTGAATGAAGACTGCCATAACAATGTCTACTCTAGATTAATTTGATTTGCAAGACCCCAACCATTCATAATAGTGAATTAACATGCTGCTTTAACATTGTATATTTTGTAACCTCAAAACTATTTGTCAGCTATACACATATGTGTATGCATATATGTGTTTGTATGAGAACATGAGATAACATGCACAATATGTAAATTATTGATATATGTCTTAGGCCAAAAATATTTGTATATGAGGTATTTAGGTCGCTGGTAAAAATATGCAAGACCAATTTTGTAGAGCCTCATTAAAATAAAAATGCATGAAACCCAAAAAAACCCAGCTTTAATTAGCAAGTTTGGATTTCCTGATATTTTGTTTGATAATATTACAAATTTTATTTGGCTAGGGAATAGCAGTTGTTTTGAATTACACCTCGTTCTGAATCAAGACACTGGTTTAATGAGGTGTTAGCTCATGAAGGAGTATTACAAGCTGATAGACTGTGGAGGATTACCATTAGGTAATGTTTAGTAAAAACTATAATTTAACAGACACAGAAACAAAGGATAATTTTGCAAATCCTCCCAGAAATAGCTATCTAATCGTGAACATAACTAAGAAGTTTGCCACAAACTTCAATTACTTCCAACTAGCCATGGAAAGGAGGTGAGGTGGAAAAATACATATTACTCCCTACTTGCAAAAATAACTTCACAAAGCAGTTATTGTAAGTAAACTTAAAATATCTTAACAATACCTCCATCATTTCTTCTCAGCTCAAGAATGAATTGGGTTACTTTCCACTCTATGCATCCTATAAGAAATTGTTTCATGGCGCCCTCTGAAGAAGTAGGTCTTTTAGACACTTAGTGTTGAATGCCTTTGACTCCTTACCTTGTCTACTTAAAGCAACTGTATTATATATATATAATGTATATATATACACATTATATATAATAATGTGTATATATACATTATATATAATGTGTGTATATATACATTATATATAATGTGTGTATATATACATTATATATAATGTATTATATATAATGTATATATACACACTATATATATATAAAATGTGTATGTGTGTGTATATATATATATATATATACACATATATATACATTTTTTTTTGTTTTTAGACGGAGTCTGGCTCTGTCGCCCAGGCTGGAGTGCAGTGGCGCGATCTCGGCTCACTGCAAGCTCCGCCTCCCGGGTTCACGCCATTCTCCTGCCTCAGCCTCCCGAGTAGCTGGGACTACAGGCGCCCGCCACCGCGCCCGGCTAATTTTTTGTATTTTTAGTAGAGACAGGGTTTCACCGTATTAGCCAGGATAGTCTCGATCTCCTGACCTCGTGATCTGCCAGCCTCGGCCTCCCAAAGTGCTGGGATTACAGGCGTGAGCCACCGCCCATGGCCAGCAACTGCTATTTTTAAAGAGAGACGTAAAAGCCACCTACAGATGCTTTTGCCCCTGATTGGTTAGTGGAGATAAGATAATGCCAACTAAGTTTGTTTCTTGTTTAAAACAGGGTCAGAGCTAAGGAACTGTTTTCACTGGGGAATGAATATGCTTAGGTCATTAGGCCATCAGTCTTCCTTTAAGACACTTGAATAACATGGACAAATTTAAAGATGGCCCACAGAACTGAACTCTCAGCAGAGGGAACAAATTTGGCCCAGAGGATGGCATGAATTACAGTGCTGAGTATTATTAATAAGAATAATAATAAGCATATTATTGATGATATTTGCTGGTTTAAAAAAATGGTAAAATGCCTCTTCTGCATTTTAACTTTCTGTGCATCTTTCTAATTCTCTGAAGGGAGCTCAAGTTGTTTTTTTTTCAAAATGCACTTTCACTAACTGAAGAAATATAGAAAACAATCTCATTTTGATAGCCCAAAATGAATCAAGGACAAGAGTTCAGCATGCTTCCTAAATGCCAAACACTATTCTACACAGTGAGTGCGATGTATCTAACTTAATATACTCAATCTCTATGAATTAGGCACTACTAATCTGTCTGTTTTACAAATGTGAAACTGAGTCAGAGAGAGGCTGAGTTCCCTTTAAAATGTCACACAGCTATTAAGAAGTGGAGTCAGAAGTAAAGGCTGTAAGTCTTGGAGGGCTAATTCAGGAACCCGCAGTCTAGGCTGCTGTGTGTGTGGGCAGAAGGATGAGGGAGGGCAGAGAGTGGAGGTGGGGGCAAGAAGCATTGCTAATATCTATAGAAAGCTTGGTATGTCATATGCTGTCCTAAGAGCAGTCAGTGCGCTTTATCCTGGCAGTCTCCTGAGTTGTTCTCAATGCTCCAACGGAAGGAACTAAAGCAGTGAGGTGAAATAACATGTCCCCATATTACACATGTGGCATGTTTTGATGAGCTTATTTATACTGCTAAATCTTCGTAAACACAAATCCATATTTCATGGAAAAAATCAGGGAGGAAAAGTGTTTACAGAGCACAGGTCTTGGAGTGAAAAAGTGCAACCTTAACTCTGGCATTTACTAGCTGTGTGGCTTTGGACATCTTACTTAAACCGTATGAAAAGAAGTTGTCAATACAATTAACTTAATAACATCTACCTCCAATATGTGAAGTATCAACATGATACAATGAATGTGAATCACCTCATGCAGAGTCACTGCAGCAGAGATATTACAAACAAATATTGTTACTTATAATGGAAGGAAAACATGGGTTATTGTTTAGGTGTAACATGCTGTTTGTTTGTATCTCTTCCTAAATTCTGTTTGTGGGAATTTATTTGTGCAAATGGAATAAACTGAGAATGCACATTGCATTATGTGATGTCAGGGTCCATGCGAGTTGGCATAGCATTATGTTGAGGTCTTTGTAATAAACGCGATGACTAAGCCTGTGGGAGGTATAATGGCATCTATGGGAAGAGTCAGGCATCGTCAATTCCACAGTGTAATTGATCCCAATTAAATTTTCGGCACTATTTCCATTTCAACTAGGGAGGCGTATACTTCTTAATCTCAATTATAGTAATCTTACTTATTTCATTTTCCTTGAAAAATCTTAAAACGTGTAAAAATACTTGACATTATCTATCCCATAAAGAAAAAATAAAATGCTCTTTCTGAAAAATATTTCAGAATACACTAGTGTTAATACCTCATGTCAATTTAATTAATTTTACAGAAAAAAGAAGTAACTAAATTTCCCAGTGTTAATAAGATATAATTAAAAATATATCTAAATGAACATTTGGGAATAATTTAACAATTAGAAAATAATTGTATGACTATTAGATAGATGATACCTTTATTTTCTGATGTGTGAGTTGAACATCATTTTGTGCATTGTCTCTATTTTTGAGCAGAAAATATCGGTAAATAAATGCAATTAATCCAGGCATAACAATCATTAAGATATATTTGTCTTTTAAGGCTGACTGGCCTTCAGGTTTTTTTTCAGCAATAGAGGTCAATAACCTACATGTGTTTAATGAATATTTTTACAATATTGCTCTTATTATTGAATTAGGAAAGACTTTGAGGGAAAATATATTGCTTTGATATATTTCATTGTGTATTTGCTAAATAACATGAAATGGATATCAGTTTGCCATTCTTAAATAGTAGATGGATAGACAGTATACATAGCTTCATGGTGGTTGTTTACAATTTGACTATACATATAGAAAAATTAATAAAATGATTAACATACATATAGATAATTGTTTTTGTTTGTTTGTTTGTTAGAGAAAAGATCTCATACTGTCACCCAGGCTAGAATTCAGTGGTATAATCATAGCTGACTTTAGCCTCAAACTCCTGGGCTCAAGAGATCCTCCTGCCTCAGTTTCTTGAGTAGCTGGGACTACAGGTGCGAGCCACCATACATGGCTTTTATATGTATTAATAATTGTATGATATTAAATGTGTTTTTATTTTTCCATTTAAAAAATGTAGTTTAAATTTTATTTAAATGTTAAATATTTGGATTTTTTTAAGATTTACTGTCCTTAATACATTCTGTGATTCTATTTTTTTGAGACAGGGTCTCGTTCTGTCACCCAGGCTTTAGTGCAGTGGCACGATTTTGGCTCACTGCAGCTTCTGTCTCTGAGGTTCAAGCAATTTTTGTGCCTCAGCTTCCCTAGTAGCTGGGACTACAGGTGCCCACCCACCACCACACATGGCTAATTTTTGTATTTTTAGTAGAGATGGGGTTTCGCCATGTTGCTGAGGCTGGTCTTGAACTCCTGACCTCTGGCAATATTTTTCTCAATTTTAACAAAGTAGGCTTCCCTAAATTCTTAGGGGTTAGCTTTTGCCCCTTAATTCCAGGTGAACATTACCTACATTAACTGTGTAATTTCTCATTATTTGAGGACCAGTCAAGAGATGTACTGCTGAGAAAGTCATCAAAGAGAGATTCAAGAGAAAATTCAGAGATAAAATATTTTCATTCAAGAGAATTTTTGGCTAAAGTCAACAGGTTGCAGATGAAAAGATATGTCTCTTTATTTATGAGGTGTTGTTTTAAAAAAAAAAACATCTGGCCTGTTTTCAAATTCAAGAGGCTGCATTATCTAAACTCCTACCCATTTTGTGGAAAGGGGAAGAAAAAGTAGGAAAAGTATGTTTTTCATTGGGACCACTTACCATGGAATTACTAAAATGAGAATACTGGTCTCAAGAAGGAGCCAAATAATTCTTCACATTTTAGTGTAGCTAAGAACTTGGATGTCTTTCTGACTCTCCCCCTCCTCACACTGCTACTGTGTGAGTTCCTTAATGTTCTGGAAAATACCTTGCACACCATTTATATCCACATTGCCAAGCAGAGCAGCTGCCATATTGTAAGCTTCCAGCAGTTGATTCTTACTTTCATTCTTTGTTGGCGAATGAATGTATGTGAGTGTACTACTGATTGTTAATGTCCATGATCTGTGCACATCTTGAACATATTGAAATAATCCATTATTTTTGGCCTAATTTGATAATCCAGAATCATATCTCTTCAAGAAGGCACCCAAAATTATATTTCTAACCCAAAATATATATTTTAAAAAATGAACATTAGAAAGATCCAGGAAGAAGAGAAATCTGCTATGGATAGTGGGAGAATAGCTTGTTTTCCTATAACGTCTTTCATGACTATTGGATAAAAATTGGGTGATTTCAGTTCCGTTTGAAAACTGTTACTTTTCATTATTGTCGATGACTTTGCAGTTCTGGTAAAATAATAATAATGATAAAATACTTTACCCTAGCAATGTACTTTCACCACCCAATGGAACTTAGCCAAATTACTGCTGAGTACCTAAAGAGGGTAATCCTTGCTGGTTAATTGTACTCCTGCCAGAGTTTTGGTTCTATAAACTATGGCCCATTAATTTCCCCTTACAATATCACAGGTATAAATTTAATTAATCAGTTGGCTAGTGTCTTGGTTTCTTGTAATAACATAGGTGTAATAATATTTACCTGATATGATCCTTTACAGGATTAAATGTTTTCTGTATTTAGCACAGTCCTTGTCATTTCTTTATTGATTCCACAGATATTTTAACACCAACTATGTGCCAAGCTTTGTTCTAGAAGCCATGAGTACAAGACATACAAGAGATAAAATTTTTTGACATAGAACTTATATTCTAGCTATTTTAGAACTCTAGATTATTTGTCCCTTACCTAACATAATTAATTCCTCAAAACAATTGATTTTTGAATGTTAAACTAATTTTTCATTTCTGAGAAAAATCCTATACAGATAGAGCATGTAATACTTTTTATGTGTTTCTGGATTCTGTTTGCTCATAATTTGTGGAGGATTTCTGTATTTATATTCATAAAATCCTTGTAGTTTTATTTTCTACATTGATAAAATGTTTGTAATTTTCTTTTCTTGTGTTTGTCTGATTTTGGTATCAGGGTAACATTAGCTTCATCAGATCAGTTGAGAATGATTCTCTCCTCTTCTATTTTTTAGAAGAGCAGTAAATTAATATTAATTCATCTTTAAATGTTTGATAGAATTCACTGGTGAAGCCATCTGGGCCTGGAGCTAATTTCTAATTCCATCTTTATATTTTTTACAAATGTATTTACATTTTTTATTTATTCCTGAATCAGTTTGAGTAGTTTGTGTCCTTCTAAAAATGTATCTCTTTTACTTAATCTTTAATTAGGTAATGGTGTATGCAACACATAATTTTTCATGTTATTCTCTTATAATTACATATATTTCTGTAAAATCAGTGGTAGTAATGTTCTGTTTTATTTTTATTTAGTAATTTCAATTCCCTCTGTTTCTCTGTCTCTTTCTTAGACATTCCGATCTAGCTAAAGTTTTATCACTTTTGTTGATCTTTTCAAGGAACCAACTTTTAGGTTTGTTGATTTCATGTGTTGCTTTCTATTCTTCAGTTTATTAATTTCTCCTTTATTTTTATAACTTCTTGCTTTGGATTTACTTTGCTCTTGTTTTTCAAGGCCGTCAAGAGAAAAATTAGGCAACTGATTTGAGATCTTTTTTCTTTTACAACGTATGCATTTACAAATATAAATGTCCCTCTAAGCATTATTTCAGATGAACCACATATTTTTGGCATGTTCTGTCTTCATTTTCATTTACTTTAAAGCATTTTCTAATATATTTATAATTTATTATTTGATACCTTTGTATCAAATTTGTGTTTAATTTCTTTGTGTTTAATTTCTTTTGTGTAATTACTTTTGTGTAATTACCTTTGTGTTTAATTTCTACTTATTTGTAAATTTTCCAAATGTATTTTCACTGTTTTCTCCATTGTGGTTGGAGAGAATACTTTGTATGATTTCAATTCTTTTCTACTTATTGAGGGTTATTTTATCAGATGTTCTATCCTTGAGAATGTTTCATGTGCACTTGGGAAGAATGCATATTCTGTTATTGTTGGATGGAATGGTCTATAGGTGTCTGGTCCTGTTGAATTAGAGAGTTCTAAAGTATTTTATTTCCTTGTCATCTTTTGTCTGATTGTTCTATAAATTATTGAAAGTGGGATATTAAAATTTTTACTTTTCATTATTGATTATCTATGTGCTCCTTCAAATCTGTTAGATTTTGCTTTATGCAATTGGCAGCTGTGCTGTGAGGTGCATATATGTTTATAATTATTACATCTTTTTGATGCATTGACCCTTAGAAATTGAGACCTCTTCATTTCTAGTAACAGATTTGTTTTAAAATGTATTTTTTTGATATTAGTATAGCAACTCTTGCTTACTTATGGTTTAACAGATATTAGCATGAAACAGTTTACTGAATATTGGCCACACAAAATCCCTGAGACTTGTACATGTTATCTCATATATATAAAGGTCTTTGCAAATATGATTAACTTAACAATCTTAATATGGAAGATATTATCCAGGATTATCCAAGTGTGACCTAAATCCAATCACAGGTATCCTTAAAAGAGAGGCAGGGGTGAAGTTGACACATACAGGAGAGGAGAAGCAATATGACTACATAGGCAGAGATAGGAATGATGTGACTACAAGTGAAGGAAGGTCTGCAGCCACAAGAAACCAAAGTGACAAAAAACTTATGCCCATACTGCATCCACTGGAAGTGCAGACCTGCTGACACCTTAATTTTGGCTCAGTGAAATTGATCTCAGACATGTAGTCTACAGAACTGAGGGAATAATCAATGTGTGTTTAAGTCAACAAGATAGTTGTAATTTATCATGGCAGTATCAGGAAACTAATTCACATTTTGGTACTGAGTAGTGAAATCCAGCTATAGCGAATAACTGAAAATATGGAAGTGGCTTTGAAATTAGTTAATGTGTCGAGGCTGGAAAAATTCTGAGGCACATGATAGAAAAAATTAGATGGCATTAAACAGATTGTAGTTAAAAATATGACAGTGAAAGGCACTTCTGATGAGATCTCAGAAAAAAACGAGGAGCACCTAAGATCAAGCCTATATTGTCTTAGAGAATAATGTTATGTATATACTGTTATGAACAGGATGTTGGTAGAAATTTGAACATTAAAGACACTTCTGGGTACTGATTAAAAGGCAATAAGAAACATGTTATCGGAAACTACAAGAAAAACAAACCTTTTTATAGAGTGGCAGAAACAGTTCAATTCTATCCTATAGTTTTGCAAAAAGCAGAATTTGATGATAATAAACTTGAATATTTAGCTAAGATATTTCAAGGACAGTGTCAAACATGTGGACTAGTTTCTTCTTGCCGCTTATAGTAAAATGTGAGATAAAAGAGAAAAGTGAGGAAATAAATGTTAATCAAAAAGGAATGATATTTAGTAATTTTGGAAATTGTTTGTCTATCCAGATTTTTAAAAACTGTGTTATTAGGAGATTCCCTGTTAAGACAGGGTTCTCTGGGGAATAGGCCTAAAGCGAGGCCGGACAACCCTTTGCTAGTGTAAAAGAGATTATGCATGTGACTCATGGATTCACTCAATCATCTTAGATGAAGCCAGGAATAAAGATGAGATTATTGAGGAAAAATCTGTTGGGGACGCTTTTGTGGGTTTCAGTGTTTTAAATGTTCATTACAAATATAGAATACCCACAAATGATATATTAGCAAATACACTGTAAACTTGGACTGAAAGGGGACAAAAATGGAGTGGAAATGAAGGAAAGCTCTTAGATTCCCAAAATGCTAGATCCAGGAACAGGTTTATAAAACTATTCAACTGCTATCCCATTAAAAAAAAAAAAGAAAATACCAGAAAGAAAGAAAGAAAGAATTATTCAATGGCAGTTGGTGCCAGAGGACAGAGCTGTAGGTGAAGAGGAAGAGACCAAGACCATGTGCAGAGATGGCAGCAGTACAGACCCAGAGGATGGATCTTCAGGCTAGAGGATTATTCCAGTTCCCAAAACCTAATTGAGCTCACCTCTCTGAATATGTATTTTTAAATTATTTGTGAATAGTCATTTCTTCTACATAGATTTTTCCTTTTAGAATGGGAATGCCTATAATTATTATATGGTGTCCATCCCACAAATGTATTTCAGAAATAAATAAATTATTTAGTTTTGCAGTTCTTCAAGTGGAAAGGAGAGGATTTTTGTTCCATATTGGATAATACTCAATATTTTACTCATACCTGATTCAAATAAACTAGATGATGAAATCCGAGATTATAGCCTGATTATTTTGAAATGAGGTTTTGGAATTTAGTTGATGATGAAATGGGTTGAGGCTTACAGGAACGTTGAGATAGGATGAATGCATTTTTGCATGTGGGAGGGATGTGAATCCACAGAAATGACCATAGCAAACTGACTAATGGCCACCCAAATATAATAAATCCTAATTATTGGAACCTGTCGATGTTACCCTATGAGGAAAAACTGTCTTTGTAAAGGGAACTAATTTAATAATATTAATTTAGGGAGATTATCCTGGATTATCTGGGTAGGTCCTAAATCCAATCACAATTGTCCCTATAAGTGAGAGGCAGAAAAAAAAAATATATATATATATAGAGAGAGAGAGAGTGAGAGAGAGAGAGAGAGAGAGAGTGTGAGAGAGAGAGAGATAGAGTCTGG
The DNA here is from genome assembly GCF_000001405.40 of Homo sapiens. Lineage (NCBI taxonomy): Eukaryota > Metazoa > Chordata > Mammalia > Primates > Hominidae > Homo > Homo sapiens. Next base: position 103,758,039 of record NC_000002.12, on the reverse strand, counting down.
CTCTGTCACTCAGGCTGGAGTCCAGTAGCACAATCTTTGCTCACTGCAACCTCCACTTCCCGGGTTCAAGTGATTCTTTTGCCTCAGCCTCCCGGGTAGCTGGGACTACAAGTGCGCACCAGCGTACCCAGCTAATTTTTGTATTTTTAATAGAGATGAGGTTTCACCATGTTGGCCAGGCTGGTCTCGAACTCCTAACCTCAAGTGATCCACCCACCTCGGCCTCCCAAAGTGCTGGGATTATGGGAATGAGCCACCATGCCTAGCCTGAAGAAAAATATTTGACTCACAGAAAAGGAGGAGTCAGTGCGATCAAAGAGGCAGGGTTGGAAGTAATGTAGTCACAAGTCAAAGAATTCTGTCAGCCACCAGAAGCTGGAAGAGACAAAGAATATTTCCTCTTCTAGTACTTCCGCTGGAGTGCAGCCTTGATGACATCTTAATTTTGGCTCAGTAAAATGGATTACAGACATGTGACCTCCAAAAATGTGAGCAAATAAACTTGTGTGTGTGGTAATTTGTTACAACAGCCTCAGGAAACTAAAACATGTAATTAACATGACTTTTTCCTCCTTTGGTTCTATCTATTTCTACCTTTGAATCTAAATTTTATCTCTTATAAATAGGATACTATTGGATTTTGTCTTCTATCCAGTCTGAAAAACTACCTTTGATTACATTGTTTAATCCATTCACATTTATTCTTATTATTGATATATTTGGATTTATGTCTGACATTGTGCTTTTTATAGACCTCATGTGCATTTTCCCCTTTATTATCCTTTTCTTTCATTAAAAGAATATATTCTAGTATAACATTTAAATTATTTAATAATTTTATTATGTATGTTTTAGATAATTTTTACTGGTTCCTTTATCTGAACCTACTTCAGATTTATACTAATTTATTCCAGTGATACATGGTATTTCTATATAGTTATATTACATATATATGTATTATATATGTCACAAACTCAACAACAAACAATACATTGTTATAATTATTGGTTTACATAATTTTCTGTCCATCTAAGAAGCTGAGGTAAGAAAGAAGAGGAGGTATATATATATTCATAGAGTTTTATACATTAATCTTATTTACCATGTCAGATTCTCCTCATTTGTTCTTGTGCATTTGTGTTCCTATGTAGTATCATTTTCCTACTCCAAATAAGCTTTGCTCCTGTGCACCTCCTCTGTGCAATAAATACATATTACACTTCTAAATGTTGTTCTTCCAATAGAAAATTTAATACATATTTTGTATATAGTTGTTTTCAAAATCAGCTAGGAGAAAAAGAAAAATAAATATACATTTGTACTATCTTTTTATCTTTTTTGCGTAATTACCTTTACTTGTACTCTTTGTTTTTTCATGTGGATTTAAATTACTCTCTAAGTTACCTGCTTTCAGCCTGAACAGCTTTCTTGAAGTATTTCCTGTAATGTGAATTTGCTAGCAATGGGTTCTCTTTGTTTTTATTATTATTATCATTATTATTAATCTGACAATGCCTTTATTTCTTCCTCATTTTTGGGAGACAATTTTGCTAGATATAAGATCCTTGATGGATAATTGTGGGTTGGTTTGTTTTGTTTTGTTTCATGTTGTTGAATATTCCATTCTACCACTTTCTGGCTTCCATTGTTTCTGGTGAGTAATCACTTGTTGATCTTATTGGGGTTTTTCTGCACCTGTCATTTGTTTTTCTCTTGCTGCTTTCAGAATATCCTTTCCCTTTGCTATGATGTTTTCGTGTGTGGATCTCTTTCTGTTTATCCTATATAGAGTTTGTTGAGCTTTTAGGATTGCATATTGTTGTTTTTAACTGTTATTTCTTTGAGTATTATTCCTTTTTGTTTTCTCTTTCTCCTTTGCTTTTAGTCCTCCTGTTATACATACGTTTCTGTGCTAAATGGCAACCCGTGTTTCTCTGAGACATTGTTCATTTTTGTTTATTTTTATATCTGTTCTTTGAATTGTATAATTTCTATTGTTGAGTCTTTCCTCTACTAGTTCAAGTATACTGTTTAGCCTCTTGTCAATTTGTTACTTCTGTTTATTGTACTTTTCAATTAAGATGTCCCATTTGGTCCATTTTACAGTTCCTACCTTCTTATAATATTCTCTATTTCATGGCACTGCATCATAGCTTTCTTTATTTCTTTAAGCATGCATTCCTTTGGTTATTTGACTCTATTTATGTTGGTTGACTTGAAGTCTTTTACTCTTAAATCAAACACTTGGGTCCTCTAAAGTCAACATCTGTTGCTTGCTCCTCTTCCTACGTGTGGGTCAAAGTTTCCTGTTTATTTGCATCGCTCTTATTTATTTTTGTTGTAAACTAGACATTTTAAGTAATACTTTAGTAATGCTGCATAATGTTTTTTCACTTCCCTCTCTAGAACATTTTTTTTCTCTCTTCTTTCCTTTTTTTTTTTTTGTTTACTTCTTAATTTGTTTACTGACTTGGCTAGACTATGATAGTGAAGTCTATTTTCCTCACAGTGTGAAGCTTCTGATGTCACTCCTCAGAGGGTACAGCCTTGGGCATATACACAGTCACCGTGGGATTGTAGCAATTTTAGGAGGGCTCTTTTTGACTGTCTCTTTCCCTGATATCTCTGTTAAGCTCTCTGCATTATTGGGTATTTCCACTAAGATGTTATGCTACATTGATGGCTGTCTAATTGTTCTATTATTTTCAAAACAGTCCTGAGGCATAAATTGCTCTACAGTCTCATCTAAGTAAATTCTGGTAACGGCAGTGTTTGAGGCCAGTCTTTCATGTTTGTTGTGTCCCCAGGAAGGCTCTACTTAAGTGTCTCTTTTCCTTGTAGTCTCTGGTAAGCTACCTAGCCTACAGTTTAGCTTCTTGCCCTCATAGAACTGCCAGCCTCCTCTTAATTGCTTACCATGAGAATCTCTGTTGTTTTCAATGGTTCCCTTGGGTTTTAACTTCCCTACTCTGTTTGAAGTGAGGCTTCTTAGCTTGCCTCTCCTGATGTGAAACTTCCATCCTATAAGTAAGCTGGGGTCAGGGCAATCAGGGGCCCAGTATGCTCATCCTTCCATGTGTGAGATTAATCCTCTGATCTATTAGTGGTGGCCAGGTGGCCACGTGGCCTCCTGGCCATACTCACCAGGAATTTATCCTCTGCAACTTGGAGTAAGAGGGGCTGAGAAATGCTGGTGGCTACCTTCCTGGTGATATACTGTATCCTTTGATTGGAAATTAATGGGGCAGGTAATCTCAATTTGGGCACACCTTCCCAGAGTTGAACTTTTATGAAGGTGACCTGGGAGGGAGAGGTTAGAGTGAGGCAAACATTGCTCACGTGCCACAGACTCTTGTTTGTCTTACAGAGATTTAGTACATTTTCTCAGACAAGTTTTTTAAAAGTCTGCTGTATGTTTTTAGAACAATTTCTGGAGATTTTTTAAAAAATAATTTTTGCCTATTATATCTGTTTTCTGCTGTAACAGGTCCACAGTCTCCTTACAATGTTAATCCAGAAGTGGAATTGTTACACTACTCTTTCTTTTTCTTTTTCTTTTTTTCTTTTTTCTTTTTTTTTTTTTTTTCTCTGAGACGGAGTCTTGCTCTGTCACCAGGCTAGAGTGCAGTGGTGTGATCTCTGCTCACTGCAGCCTCCATCTCTGGGGTTCAAGGGATTCTCCTGCCTCAGCCTCCCAAGTAGCTGGGACTACAGGCGCATGCCACCAAGCCCAGCTAATTTTTGTATTTTTAGTAGAGATGGTGCTTCACCATGTTGGCCAGATGGTCTTGATCTCTTACCTCGTGATCTGCCCGCTTCGGTCCCCCAAAGTGCTGTGAGCCACCTCGCCCAGCCTATACTGCTCTTTCTTAACCAAGGATGTTGCAAGCAAAAAGTGATATTCAGGAGAGAAGAGAGCAGTTTGAGTTTCTTCCATTTTTATGGTTCACATACCAATGTTTAAAAATGTGGCATTGTTCTATTAGTAACTTTGTACAAAAAGATATTGCATAAATAATAAACTCTTGCAGTTTTGTTAATTTAAATACAAATTACACACAGAGAGACACATACACACAAATATTATTCCCTCAAACGGGGACATGATGTTTCTGGTTTCCACACTGTGTTGTCTCGACAATCAGCATGTATTGCTGAGAATTCTCCCAAACAATTACGTTTGAAGAGCTTTTCTGTAATAACATCTGAATGTTTCTTCCAAATGATTACATTCCTAAGCTGTCTCTATAAATTTGGATTATTTCATTTTTAATTCATTTCATTCAGAAATGAACCATTCAACATCTATTATATGCCAGACAGGAAATAGGAGTAGAAATAGGAGTTTCTATACTCATTTAATTTTTTCATTTGAAGACCCTTTCATTTTAAGACCCTGATGCAGCACAATGTTGCAGCTCTGTTCAGAGAGTTCTCTTTTAGCATTGACTTGTGTCAGGCTTCAATTTGTCTTTTCTCCCTCAATGCCATTTCTCTGGTTCATTCCATCATCATGTCTCTCCCAGGCCACTGCTTAAGTAGTTAACCAGTCTGTTGGCTGTTGTAGACCAGCAATGACCAATGGAAATATGTTTCACATATATAGTACTAAACATTTTTTTTTGAAATGACTAGATTTGCAATTCCATGTACCCTGCACTTGGTTTTCTCTAGTGGTAAAATCCTGCAAAACTATAATACCCTATCCCAAATAAAATATTTACATTACACTACAGTCCACCGATCTTATTCAGATTTCTCATTTTATTTGTACTCATTTATGTGTTTGTGTGTTTTGTGTCAGTTAGTTCTATGTGATGTTATCACACGTAGGTTTATGTAGCCACCACCACAGTCAAGATGCAGAATAGCTACATTACTGCAAGGATTCCACATAATGCTCTTTTATACCACACCTACCTTTTTTATTCTTTGCTGGAGTTCCAAGAAGCTTTATAATTGATCATTGAAATGTTTATATAATGGCTGCTTTAAAGCCTTGTTAGATGTTTACAGTATTTGAGTCATCTCAGTGTTGGTATCAGTTGGTTGTCTACCAGCCTCCTCTTAATTGCTGACCAGAGGAGGTTGGTGGACAACTAACTGATACCAAATGTTGGCATCATTTCTCAACCCTTCTTGCTCCAAGTTGCAGAGGCTAAATTCCTGGTGAGTACAGCCAGGAGGTGAAGTTTCCCTTCCTCCACCTGGCCACCACTAACAGGTTCAGAGGATTAATCTCACACATGGAAGGATGAGAATACTGGGCCCCTGATGGCCCTGACCCCAGCTTGCTTATAGGATGGAAGCTTCACATCAGGAGAGGCAAACTAGGAAGCTTTATTTCAAACATAGCGGGGGAAGTTAAAACCTAAGGGCACCTTTGAAAACAATAGAGATTTTCATGGTCAGCAATTAACAGGAGGCTGGTAGTTCTCAGCCAAATACTGTGGTTTTCCTAGATCTTGATATGATGGGTAATTTTCAGTTTTATTCTGGACATTTTGGCTATTATTTAAGGAGATTATGGGCACAATTTAAGTCTCCTCTTCTAGAAAGTAGTCATACCGCTGAGTTTTGCCTTCAAATACTGGCCTGCTTTTCTAAGTTATGGTTATGATGAAAATTTAGTTTTTAGAGTCTTGTGATGCTATTTTTGTCATTAGGTGTAGTTGCTGCTGTTCAGGCTCTCACCAGTTCCTCCTGATGCTGCCTGAGAAGGCAGAGATTCCTCAGGTGAGGCACCTGGTGCTTCTAAGTGGAGGAAGAAGCTTCATGGCCTGGGTTGCCTTTGTCTTCTGCCCACCCAATTCCTCTTGGTGGAGGAGGAAAATCTCAGGCCCAGCAGAAAAGGAAAACTCTTCCTGTGCTCCTTCATTGCCAACAGGGCTCCCAGTCAATGCCCTTCGGTAGAGCTGGTTAGATTCCTTGTTTTTGTCCAGTGATCTTCCATTCGACTGTGGAGAGAAATGAACCTATCTGGGCTCTAGGTTTAATGTTTCTAGGTTGGAGTTCAGAAAAGGTTGGGCTTGGGTCACCTTCTTCAAAGGATTGGGGTCTCTGTAATACCCTGCCACTACATTGTTCTTCCAATTGTGGAGTCCCTCATTTCTTTCCCCTACTCTTTTCTTCCCTCAGAACTCTACTTGGTTGTTTTTTGCATTATTTTCAGGGTTTACAGCTGTATTTAATGGAATAAAGTGGGAAAAATGTCATGTATGTCATTTTGTTTAGAGCTGAAAACTCCACACATGTAATTTTAAATTTCTAATAGTAACATTAAAAAATAAAGAAAACAAGTGAAATAAATTGTATTAATGCATTTTAACTCAATATGTCCACATTATTATAACACATAACCATTGTAAACATTTATATATTTTACATGTCTTTTCTACAAAGTATTTAAAATATTGTATATATCTTATACATATAGCTCATCTCAATTCATACTCGTCTCATTTCATATACTCAGTAGCCTCATGTCAAGATAAGACTGCCACATTTGACAGTGCAATTCTCAACCCTTCAATTTATTATATGCACAGCACAGTAATTATGATTCTTTAAAAAAAATCTGAAAATATCTCTTTTCATGCTAAACCCTTCAAAGACTTTCCAAACCACAGGAAAAAATATTTGAAACTTCTGATAATGGCTTCCAATGATACCATTTCTTCTCATTCTTTTCCCTGCTAATTCTTAGTAACCATTCAGCTTTCAGCTTAATTGTCACACCTTCAGGGAAGGCCTATAAAATCCCCCAAAGAAGTCACGTTTCCCTACTAATACTTCTTAACACATCTTGTGCTTTTCTTATATAGCCCTTATCACAATTTTTATATAGTGTCTTTAATTATGTAAGTAGTTGTTTGTTGATTATGTTCCCTTTTAGATTGCATGTTCCATGACAGCTGGATCTTGTCTATTTTACTCACTGCAGTATTCCCAGTGCCAAGCACACTACCTGCTTTTCAAATGAATAAATGAATTTCACTCATTCAAATATGGAAGCCCAAAGCAAAAAGCTCCTTATTCTAAAAGTAATAATAATTAAATAATTTGAAAATGGTTAGTTTTAAAATTATTAGGACAAATTTTTACCAATTATATTTTTATTAAATATTTGGTCATTGCTTGTTCTATAAAAATGAAATGTATCTGAAATGTTGATTTGGATTATATTGCATGTTCATAATCTCAAATGTTACGTCTCTACATACTATCTGCAATAGGAATTAAAAAATGCATTTCCAGAGTGTCCTTTTACATAGTGCCTTATACAGGGGAGTGCTTACTAATATTAGATAATAATCAGAGATCAAGAAAATTTTCTTCTTGGCTTTGTTCTTGTGTTCTCTTTCATCAATGAATTAGAATATGCTGATTAAAACCATGTTAAAGAACTCCTAGAAAGAAGCAAAAGCATCTGTGACTAGTGTATCTCTACTTCATTTCAATTGTGGTCTCCAAATTTCATCTTACATAAGTATTGTCTTATGTACTTATTTTTAGCAGCTTCTTGAATTATATAACACAGGGCAAAAATGCTTATTTCTCACTGGATTTGTATGACTTCTAGTAAATTAAATTCCAGAGATAATTTGGAAAGAAAAATAAAAAGTATATGTAGCCTGTTCCATAGGATTTTCGTTAGAACGCCCTTGAGAATATTGAGTGTGTGTGTGTGTTACACTATCACCTTACTTAAATTCTTAAACTAGAGTTGTTTCCTCTTTCTATTCACTGCTCTTGGGATCAACCACCCTCCTACTTCCTTGATTTATCCTAGGATTTTAACTTTTTGTAATTTTCCTTTCACAAGGATATGGTTTGAATGTCATAACAACTCAACTGTTATAAAATATTTTAAATCCAAATATCAGAGAAAAGCATACTGATATTTAGCTTTGAAAAATTTTATGTTTGAGTTGTAAAATTTGGTTAGTATCAAGTTATGCATGGAAACATATATAATTTATATAAATATATAAAACGTATAGAGTCATAGAAAAATAGGTATAGTAGAGTTTAGCTGTAAATAGATATTTTTAAAGTTGAGATATAAATGCATTATAGACATCAATATTCAACTCAATCTATTTTCCTTTTACTTGGATTATTTTTCAGCAAATTATTATCAAAATTGGAAACAGAATTCAGCATATATGGTTTTTAGCCTGCAAGTTAGGCCCAAAACTCATACAGTGTGTGTTTACTTTTTTCTCTTTTTGAAAAAGAGATACAACAGAATAAAGTAGAAACAACAAAGAAATTTTACATTGTTTGCAATATCAATATTGAACAGAGGAGGAATTTAGATGGAAACATTTGAGTTGATCCAGTATTTCTAAACATTTCATTGGTTAAAGTAGTGTGCCATAGTTGATCTTACTAATTTCTACATGGTAATTATAAAAACATGTGACTAATTGCGACCAACTTGCCTTCTTTATCTAAGCAAACAAAGTCTGCTTCTTCTGCTATTTGGAAACATTTTGTTCAGGTACATAAGACCCTTGATATTTCCCTTCACCCCCAGTTTTAAAAGACCACTTTAAATGATCCTCCTTAATGAAATTGTGTACAGTGCCCACCAAGTACACGTCACTGTATTAGGCGCATTCCTCAGATAATTCTGCCCATTACTGGAGATGGGAATTCCTATATGAGAATTATAGCCTCTTCAGACCAAATGGGCTTACGTTGAATCCCATTTCAACTGAGCGTTATTTGGGTTCTCAGTAAAAATCATTCCATGAGTGTGAGCACAGTGCTTTTTCTTATTCATTATTAATTTTTAAACAATTTGAGATGAAACTGCAAACACTATTGAATATGCATTGCCTTTGGAATTAAGGCTATCTCATTATCTTAACCAAGCCCTTTACTGAATTCCCCCCAGAATCATTGTTATGAAGAATTATACATCTTTTTTTCTTTTTCCTGCTGGCCAGATCAGACACATTTTTGTATCAATGAAGCCTGTTTCAAGGGCACATTGCCAAAATGATAATTTACCACAAACAAAATAAACAAGACAGAAGATGGGATATCAAATATTGGCAGAAAAATGGATAGTTTGCAGAGGATGAGTAAAGTCTCTCCCGGCACCATTGACACTGCTCTGCCAAGGCAAACTATGATAATAAAAGCCTCAGAAGCTTTAAAATATACAAAAATAATTGATTTTATTAAAAAATCTTATACATGCATACATACACACAAACGTATGTCTATATTAAACATGATGATTAAAAATTAAGCAATCATCAGAGTGATTGGCTTGGGATTAAAAAATTCCCATACTTAAGTTGTGATATTCCTTTTTCCTTCAAATCCTCATCTTTTTTATACCTCAACTTTCACAGATAAAAAAGTGCTAAAACTTTCTCACACAGATTCAACATCAGCTATAGCACCTGTTTGCCTGTCACCAAAAACCAACAAAATATGCATCATTCTTTAAAAAATTCCTGGGGACAAAAGTGATTTGATCAATTTAATGCCCAATAAAAATGGCATTTTAATCTACTACTTCTACTGTGCATGTCAATGAAATATGTATAGACTGAAGAAGTGGTACTTGGCGAATCAAACAGATAAAAGACATCAGCAAGACAAAGAAAGTTGCCAGTAAACAGCCAGAGAGGTTCAGGATAAAATAACTAAAACTGGACAAACTGAAAGATAGGATCTTCAAGAAATAAATTCCTAGGCAAGCGTGTGTCAACCACTGCAAAAGGAGTGTTTTAATAAGGGAGAATGATGGAGTTAACATGAAAGAGTTAAGAATGAAATGCTCTGTAGAGAAGTAAGGGAAAACAGGAGAAGACATGAGTGAATGAGAATTTAAAACACTGCATTGTAGGAAACAGTTTTATGACACAGTAGGTGAAATCACATATGAAGAATGGACTCCAGGAAAGGGGATTTGGGAGAAAATAAGAGCAGCAGGTACTGGATAGGAGAGGGCATGGGAAACCAGAGAGAAAATCAGAGAGAAACTAGCTGGAGTGTAAGTCTTCAGTTAGAGTTGCCAAGAAATTTAATCAGAGAAAGAGAGGAGCAGAGACACTTAGGGGATGAAAACCGCAGAGTCCCGAGGCTCTCAGTGGCTCTCACTGGGAGAAGATCTAGGAAGGTAATGAGGTGTGGGGAGTGTAATTGAAAAGGGAACAGGAGGGAACTAAAATACATGAATAACCAACGTAGGGTTAAGGACCATTTGACAATTATTTTGTAGTAACTGGCTGGTGATAATTGGAGCTGGGAAGAAAATGGGATGCTGCGGGTGTGTCTAGACCCCAAGCAGAAGAAACAGAGAAAGGGCAGAACCTATCAATGTAGAAATGTCATATTACAGCTTTTAGATATAGATACATAATTGAAGTTTTTACTTTTGTCAACTTTTATTATACTTTTAGTAATTGCCTTCCTCTTCTTCACCCCAGATAGAAGGCTGGGAGTCAGATCTTAAATGCATAATGCCACTCTTCTTTGTGCATTTCCAACGCACACACATGTGTTCACACAAGTGAGCTCAGATTGCTATTCAAATCAGTGTAACTCCATGTATGATTTAGTTCTAGCTCTGGAAATGAAACGATCACCTCTTCAAGAAATGCACAGTCTAGAAACGGAGGAGACGGGTGTTTTTAAAACAGCCTATCAAGCTGGCCATTGCTATCCTAATAATACAAACAGAGTAATGAGGTAATGTATAGAGGAGAAGTAATTAGTTGGCATGGGCAGGAAATGCCATACTGTTCTGGTTAATTAAATAATTTGTTTAAAAGAAGGGTTGCTGTGTATGTCAAACCTGAATTGGGATATTAAGTAAGTTTTATGTCTATAATAGAGGATCCTGACTCTGAGCTCTTTTTATTCAAAATACTTCTGACACCAAATGTGGGATTTTCTCCTCACACCAACCAACTCTCCAACTCTCCAGACATCAACTGGACATCCTACAGTTAAATTCCATTCTGACACAGACAACCTGAAGTTAGCGCTGACCCCACAGGTTAAAGGCTCAGTCCCATGGATGAAATTGGAAATCATCATTCTCAGTAAATTATCGCAAGAACAAAAAACCAAACACCGCATATTCTCACTCATAGGTGGGAATTGAACAATGAGAACACATGGACACAGGAAGGGGAACATCACACTCTGGGGACTGTTTTGGGGTGGGGGGGAGGGGGGAGGGATAGCATTAGGAGATATACCTAATGCTAAATGACGAGTTAATGGGTGCAGCACACCAGCATGACACATGTATACATATGTAACTAACCTGCACATTGTGCACATGTACCCTAAAACTTAAAGTATAATAATAATAAAATAAAATTTAAAAAAAAAGGCTCAGTCCCACAGGATTGCCTGCTACTTGCCACTTCCAAGTCCTGGACCTCTGGTACTTATGACCAACTGGCTAAAAAGTCAGGAATTCCCACACCATGCCCCTCAGCTTTGGTAATTTGCTGGAACAGCTCACAGAACTCAGAAAGGCATTTTACTTATTATTACCTGTTTATTACAAAGCCTATAACTCCAGATCAGCCAGATGGAAGAGATGCATAGGGTAAGGTATGGATGGATGGGGGCAGCGCTTCTACCCCCTTTCAAACTGCACCACTCTCCCAGCACCCTGATGTGTTCACCTGGAAGCTCTCCCAACATTGTTGTTAAGCATTTTGATGGAGGTTTTATCATGTTGTCACAACCAATCGTTATCTTGCTCTTCACCCTCCTGGGAGGTCAGGGGATGGGGCTGAAAGTTCTAAGTATTTAATCACATGTTTGGTTGTTCCTTTGGCAACCAGTCCCCATCCTGAAACTACCTAGGGGTCCACCATCAGTCACCTCATTAACATAAACTCAAGAATGATTAAAAGGGTCTTATGTTGAATAATAAAAGATGCTCCTATCATCCTTAGCTCTCAGGAAATTACAAGAATTTTAGAAGCTCTGTGTCAACAACTAGGGACAAAGGCCAGACATAAATTCCTTATGATCGCACTGCCATTCCTAGTTGCAGAGTAATTCTCCATCTCCGGTGGTTTCTCCTATTCCCAGCTTCACTCTTGGAAAGAGTCCCTTCATTAAACTCTTGGAGGCAGCTGAGTGTTCCTGCACTTTCCCACATAGTGTGATGGTCCACTATCCTCTTCCTGATTTTTTTTTTTTCAGATAATGTTCTTCTCTTTGGCTTTAGGTTTAAAATAAATCATAAGCAAGCATGAATAGCAAAATACAATTTATTTTTTCATTCCTAAATTACCTTCACTTTATAGATAGATCATGGGACTCCTACATTCATACACCTCATTAGATTGAGGAATAATATAGTTGCAAAATTTTACCAGCTACACTATTTGTTGTAACATATTGTATTATGTTTGTGTTAGATAGACTTGGCATTGGAGAGGACTGAATAAGTTTTATATGAAAAGTAGAACTTTCTTCAGTTTTTACTCCAATATATGGAACTCTTAATTTTGTAGCTTCTAGAAAATGATTAGTGCTACAGATGCCTTTTCCATTATTTTGATTATTTAGATGCCATTCAGATAAATTTTACAACTTTTGAAATCTTCTTTGGATACCTCATGACAGAACTTTATTTAAAATGTGACATCCAGCTTAAAAGTGACAATTCTGATAAATTGCTGCTTATAATTAGATTCCCTTAATATGCAAGTGTCCACAGAGCTATGAATGCTATCTCAGGGGTGTGTTTGAAGAAAGCAACTGTGCAAATAGGCAATGAGTTTTAATATTAGCAGCACAGTTTTAACCTGAGCAATGTGAATCTACTACAAAGAAACAACATTTAACATTGTTGTATGACTATACTATGTGCCTTTCTGGTTGGTAATCTTATTGGGAAAATTTTTTATCCTGAATTTATAGCCATTACAAAGGCCACTCGATGAACTCTCCAATTACCCAACACTCAACCTACCTGTTATCTGTTATGACCCACAAAACTGCAAAAAGTGCTGGGGTATAGGAAGGCCCATCTCAAATGCGAAAATATCAGGATGCCCTAAAATAGTTGGTAAGAAACGACTTTCCCTGTTACTGGGAAAGCTATAGCTTACTTTTTCTTTATGTATGGTTGTTTCACATTACTCACAGCCTGACTTTTTTTTTAAACTAGAGAAACAGATTATTTATAGATACAACAGATTTTTTTCTTTTGCAGAAACTATGTTGAAATCTACTGAGCCACATAATTAAATCCCTTTAAAAAATATTTCTGCATACATCCTTTGCTACTTTAAATTGAAATGGGGTGAATTTGCTCTGAATAGGTGAATGGAGTGAGAATGTACACAGGGTTGAGTGTATGCCTCAGGCTTACCCCAGGAGTGGCCCTGCCACATTGTGGTGAAGCTCCAACCTCAGGTCTTAACTTTTTCACTCTGTCATCTTCTTGTTCTAAACTAGGGCAGGCCACTGCATCCCTCTGAAATTAGGTTTCTCCATGTATAAAATGAAATGATGGTAACCACCCAATCTACCTCTAGAGTTTGTTATGAGACTCAAATAATAACATTTTCATGAATGCACTTTGGAACCCACAGGGCTGTCTGTCAAGTTCTAATTTTAGGATTCTCCTGGCTGGTTTGGGACTTGTTGCCTCACTTCTTTGCAGCTGTTTTCTTTACCTGGAAAATGGTAATAGTAAAATCATCCATTTTATAGCACAATTGTGAGAATTACGTAAGATCATGTGTGTACAATATTTAGCAAAGTACCTGGTCCATTGCCATAACCCGGTACGTGTTTTTTGTTACTATGTTTATTGCATGAGCATTTAAAGTTATTAGGAAAGTAGTTTGACTGAATTGCAACCATTCATGTTCCTTTGAAATGAATATTGTGTACACTGGGGTGGTTTTTATGGTCCTAAGCCATTGCACCTAAATCACACATATTTAAGCAAAGATGACTATTCATTCGTTACAGTGTTACTTAAGCAGCACTCTTTTTCATAACAGGGAGAGATCTGGCTTTGTTGATACATTGTAGTTAACCTCACTTAGATTATGTCATGTTATGAAATAAACATTAAAGAAAAACTAATACACGTCTACTCTTTTTGTTGCTTGCCGTTGTTATAATCACTCTGATTCACTGCTCGTGGCATAGGAGCAGTGATTGTCTGAGGCAGTTTCCTATCAATGCCAAGGCTAAAGCTGGTGAAGAAGTGAAACAAATCTCTGCTAAAAGTTTTAACCAGACTTCCTCCATTGAAAAATGATGATTTATGGTTACAAGTTCTCAGTTTAATATGCATTAAGAATTCAAATGCTGTTGCGATAATTTTTTAGTAAAAGCTGCTTTTTAGGACTACCTTTGCACATTTTCTTCACAAGCAATAATTCTTCATCTATGGAGTAATTTATTTCTTCTGGTTTTAATATGTTACAGATGAATGGTTGTATGTCTTTCCTGTTAGAGCATTACAAGACAGGCCACTTTTACATTAGGCTGGTACTACAACAGATACCTGTGGTGCTCTTCATGGTTCATGTGGTACTAATTTAAATGGGAAGTTGCACATATTTCATTGAAACACTTGGTAAAGCCAGCTTTCACAGAAGGGTGAAAATGATGGACTGTTCTCTGTGTGCAGCTGAACTGCTCTAAATGTGTCAGAGAGGGTTATGGATCATTTCATTCACCCATCAACTCTGGTCTGCTGTGTGTACAAATCACAGCACAGTGTCATCCAACAGAACATTCCTGACAATACTAGAACATTTATAGTACTGCCATTTTTAATAGGAGTTCTGCAACCCCATTTAAATAGTATCACTTCTTTAACACTTTCACTCCTGTTTTCCTGACCCTTTTCTCAAGCTGGCTTGGCCCTGGCTGCAGGGTTAACTGGGATTTATTATGGCAATTCAGCCATGCTGTGCGAGTGTGTGGGGAGGTCTCACTTTACCCACACCTGGGCCATAGCCAGAGTTACATCCATTCGTAGTTGTACTGTGTATGCCTCTTTCTTTTTGCAAAAGCAAAGCTACTGATCCCTCCAGGTTTGTTCTGGAGTATACCCACCCATAACTTTTTAAACAGTCAGCTTCAGTTTTAAACAAATACATTAAATAGGTTGGCTATAAATGTTCTTTAATTATGAAGTTCCTTTTCTCATCTTTGACCACTATTGTTAACAAAGAAAACTAAAAAATATAATTACCACTTTTTTTCCCTAATTCTGAGATTCTGTCATTGTCGTGTTTTATTTTTTTATTTATTTATTTATTTTTTTTTGTCTGATTTTCTTTTTACCAGCTTGGGAACTACTAAAAATACTGTTTCGGGGTCTGCTTTCCGCAGCTTCAGTTACAGGCTTCTGGACAGTTGGTCAAAATGCTACTCCAAATCGGATTACAAGTATCCCACATAATGCGGTTTACACTCAGTAATTAAAGAGATACAGCACTTGTATTTTATGACTTCATGACTTATTACTGATGTTTGTTTCAACCAGCTGCCTAGTGATAATAGTAGTTGCTTTATATGTAAATGGGTAAAAAAATGTTTACAAATTAAAGCTCATTGCTGACTCTAGGAATCCAAGGCAAGTTGAAAAAAAAATGACACTATGAGTACAGGGAATACTAAAATGACAGCATAAAGCAAATTGTGGACTTCTCTGGGATTCTACACAGAACCTTAATCCAGGCCTTGCAACCATGTTATTTTATTGGGATAAATTGAGTCAGACATAAAAATGCAAACTTTGAGAGATTTTAAGCTATCTAACTCTCAAACTAGAAACACTAACCACAGGAAAAAGTGAGCAATAGGCATTTTTCTTAATTCTTAGAAATTATCTTTGTGTTGGCCACTGTATTTGTTTACTGGAATAAATAGGAAGGAAATATATATGTTAAAAGGAACTGCTTTTGTGTAATGCCTTTCTCAAATTTGCTATTATTTTAATAGTAATTTCTATACACAAATGAATATTATTTTCTATCTTTTGAGGTAAATATTCAGATGTAGCACACACATTTTTTTCATCAATACTATAAATATGATAAAAATTCTTCTATATGGAATAGGAAATGAAAATATTTTCCTGTGTAATTAATATCAAACCATGATAAATACTGGTGTCTTCAAAATTTGTGTTTAGAAAAATCATACGATAATTTGGTATAGCTTGGAAGTCTATTCTCCAGACCTAACTAAAGCACATTTCTCCTACATAAAAGAAAACTCGACTGTTAACTGACACAAAATTATCAGAGGCATCAGTATTCAGTATTCTGCTGCTGTTTACTGAAATCAGCAGGGTCCAGATGTCAAGAGGACTCAATACAAACAGGTGTAGTGAGGAGAGTTTAGGAAGTATAGGTGGGGTTGACAGAACCTGTGACAAACTCAGACTTTACTCATGGTCTGTTATCATCCCTCAGCCTAAAGAGGACAGAAAGAATTACAGGCTCATGCTGCAGGAGCCAGTGCAGAGGTGGAAAGAGACTACCCGTAACAGAGCCACACCCCAGGCCCATGCTTGGAGGGAGCCACTCCAATCCTCTCTATCCACCAAAGCACCAGTCCTCCACCGGTGCCTACTATTTGCTGAACTCTCCTGAAAGCCAGCGAGTGGTCCATGGGGAGGTCAGCCTCCAAGCACAAGGAAAGGCAGGGAAGTATGGAGAATGGGTCTGGCTTGAGAGAAGGAGGAAGCAGAAAATAACAAGTAAAACAGCCACATAAGAAAGCAATGTAGTTTAATTATTTCTAATAAGCAAACCAAATAACCAATATCAAAACACTATTATACTCACTTTAAACAATTTTCTCTGGCTTTCTTTATCCCTAAAATCAAGTTATAAAGCCCTATATGGACAGTTGGCCTATGGAAGCCTATGTCCTTTCTCAACTGGGGTTCTTCTTCCAAACCCTGAAACACAGAAAATAACTTGAGAGGTCGTATTCTTAATTCTTATGAGGTCCATTACTAATACCATCTGAAGGAATAGGCAAGAAATTAATTTATTACCTATGATGGATGCTGTAGACATTAGGACTTGATTCCCTGGAGGAACCATGGGGAGGAATTCCAGAGACCCTAATGCTCTGGGCCTTATTCCTGGTGGAGTCTCTGACATGTAGACAGCATGTCAGCCTTTTTGAAACAGCTCCCATTCTGTCACCACTACAACCTCTCATTGATGGAAACATGCCATGGCTTTGCCACATCTTATGAAAATTAACGTTTTCCATAGGAAGACCTTATTTGCCTTGTGCTTGATGCAGAGCAGGGGGCAAATTGTATTTGGTGCATGAGTAAGTGAGTGAATGAATTAATAAATTATCATCAGTGCTGATAAGTTAGTTAATAATGCAACTCTCAAATGAAAGGTGTAAAAAATCTGGAAAAAAAAAACCATTGTGGGCATCTAACTTAAAACGAATTTAATTTTGGTGACTTGCAAAATAAAACAATTTGGAGGGGTATTTAAAAATTCTTCAAAAGGGACAATAAAGGCATCAATACAGTGGATTTCCTCACATGCTTGTCACTTTCAAACATTTTTTGCATTTCATTTTTTTCTTCCTGTGTCTTGAGTCACTTAACTTCCTTAAATGGCCAATTTTCTAACTCTGAGTATCATTTAATCCATTCATTGGCCACTTTCCCAATTCTTCTAAACATAAGCGCTCAAATTTAATAAAAATTCATGGCGTCCCATCTGTGTTTTAATATCAAACTTCTAGGGAAATCAACATGTGAAGTATGTTAAAGGCTGTGAGAAAACATGGTCATGTTAGGGGAAAATTGAAAAGAAGGTTCCAGGGAGAACCAATGCAGAGAAGCCATGTGTGCCCCTTCCTGGGCCCTCATTTTCCTGTGGCTGTGTGAAGGTAGTGAAAAGCAGCCAACACTGTCCCATTGAATTGGAAAGGGCATAAATTCAAGCCATGAATGTGTGAACTGCATTGTACCCTCTTTGTGAGCATCTCTGAATGCTACCCTGTTGTAAGCTTTTAATTTCATTCTATAATAATTCAGTTGCCAAAGTCTTTGTCCTTGCTTCCTAACATATGCCCCAAAGGCTTGTTTCATGCTAGCAGATGCCATTAAATATGTTTATTAAATTTAAAGATACAAAATATTTCCTACACCTGCATGTATGATATAATGCAGTTTCACAGTTTGATGGAATATCCCCTTAAGAAAGTATTGCATTGATTTCTATGTGGCATCAAATCATAGGCTTCTATAATTTCAAGAACTAATTAAGCAAATAGAAAGTAGTGCCTGTGGCTTAATCCTGTGATAAATCTGCATGAGCCCCAGACACTGGGGCATCTCTCGTTTGAATTTGCATTGGATCGACAAAATAAACTAAGTTCTGGAGGAGATACTTATGGTATAATTATAGCCTAAATATATGCATTAAGTAATTATTTCAGTAAACAAGAATTGCAGACTATTCATTGAACTGTAAGAAAGGGAAGATCTGTGAACTATATAAACTGTAAATGTTATTCCTTAGAAAGATTGTTCAATGAGCAGGTTAGAATTGGCGAAATTCCTAAGCAATGAGAAAATCTCTCACTTGTTTCCCATTGATATGCCACAAAAGAACCAAACTTGGAAACCAATGTGGTTTTTCGGGAATAACTGAATAGGACCCTCAGTGGTATGCTGTGTTCAGGAGTTGGCACGTTGTTCAGTTTTGTCCAATTATCAATAAGTGAGAGGGATTAGCTGTTGGTAATAGTGCAGTGGATAAAAGGCTCAGGTCATGAGCAGTGAATTTAGAAAAGTGAGAGTGTACTTAGAGGGGGAAAAGCTTTTCTAAATTAGCAATAAAATGAGATGATTAGGTTAACTGTTTAGTTCCTAAAGTGGATAAATCCTGGTGATATGAATTATACCCTGAGTGGTATGTCAAGGTTCATCTAACTTTCATTTTCTTGCTGCAAAATAATCACTTAGCCCTTCATCTAACAGGCAACCAAAAACTCTAGGTAAAATTTAAAGTGCCTTTGGAAATGGCAGAAAATGACCTTGAGAATAGAAAGGAGAAAAGACAGGCAAACAGGGAGGAAAAAAAAAAAAGTGAAATAGTTAATATAAAGTTTAGATTCAGATTAATGATTTTCTTTGTTTAAATGCCAGTGCTTGTATTCACATGAAAATCTGTCCTTAAAAGTACAGTTAGAACACATCAATCCTTAAGTGCTGCATACCAGAGATAAATGAAAACTCATTGTGTCAAGAAAAATGTTGATTTATGGCTGGCAGGAGCTGACTACTAGCTTTTTTTAATCATCATTTTGGGGTATTCGTTTAACAAGAAGAATGTTCAAAGGTAATTAAGAAAAGCAAAAAATTATGAATTTAGAATGCATTTTGAGACTTTTCTAATTATCCACCATATTCACATCACATTAGCTAAAAATTAAAGAAAAAAAGAGGTAAAAGAAACTTTTACTCTACTGCTCAGTCATTAAAAATTAACCTTTATTCACAGTACTTCAACAGATCATACTTGCTTCTGGGAGGTGATTCCAACTTAAAAGTGTCATGAACAAATGTCCTCTAACTTCAATGATCTCCTAAGTCACATCTAAAATACCGCCTACTGGACAAGCACAGTCTGGATATCTAAGACTATCCAAGAAATCTTAGTCTTTTAGAGCTTTCTAAACATGTAGAAGAAGCACATAGTTAAAATTTGTTAAAGGTTAACAACAGAAACCCCAGGCAATATGAAATCTGACATCATGCGTTATATAATTAACAGATAAAGTCCACCAAGCATTCATTCCTTTGTACTGTGTATGGCATAACACCGGTTGCAAATCCAATTCATAAGCTGTCTAAATGAATAATTTGTGGGAGAAGTGGTTAGAAAGATGCTAGCATTGTAATATATTTTCATTTTCGAATGCCGACTTTTCTGCAAGCTGGGCTCCTGGACATTGCTAGTTTCACTTCACTACACGGGAATTGATTTCAAGTTAGGTTAAATCTCCAAATAACACTATAGTCATGGAAATGTCCAATGGCTATTTTGTCGTAAAAATAACTGGCTTAGTCAGCTGCCTCTTTACTTACCTTTCTATTGTGTCTATGATAAGTATACCTAGCAGATAGTAGAGAGTCTTCTTTGTCTTTGTGATTTGATCTCTCGAGAAAAAAAACAATATGGAGTGAGGCAGATGGAGAACTCTATTTGATGTATAAAAATTTCCTTGTGTTATGTAGTTTCAGTATAGCTTCCATTTTGAAACTGATCATATTGGTACTAGAAAAACAAATGCACAAGTCATCCTTTAATCAAAAATTGCCCCCACACCCCATCTCACCCCCTTATCTTTAGTCCAATGACGTTTTCATTGCTCTAACATTATACCTCTTTTATTGACTGGACAACTTTTTTGAAACCCTAAAATATGACTAAGTTTTTATTGAAAGAAATGGAAACATATGCCATTATATAAAGTTTGAAATTTGGGTAAATTATTTAATAGGTTTTAGTTATACAGCCTGGTATATGTCTAGCATTTTTCAAACAAGTTGTGTTTATTGACAAGTTTTTTATGACTAGAAAAAAACGAGACTTACAAGAATATGAGAGGAGTCAGAATATTTGCTGTTGGATGTTGGAAGAAAATGAACTATTGGTAATAGATGGATTTCTTCAGTATGAAAAATCTTCAAAGACTGAAATCTGTTATGGCAGAAGTAATCCTTAACTTCACTTGTTCCAGTGAAGTATTCAACATTCAGTGTTCATGTGTAAATGCAACAGACATGTTTTGTGTGCCAGGTACACTGTAAGTAATGAAATACAATATCGCATCACCTTTATCCCACATACCACTGTGACTTTTGTTACTTAAATGCCAACTACTCACCTGCATTGCCCTGGACACATCACATAAATCATATCTAAGCCTCATAAGTACCCCATAAGGTATGTACAATCAAACTTAGCTTATATGTTTCAAATTCAAGTCCAGAGAGCCTAAGTAACTTGCCCATGTTCAGAGTTAGCAAAAATGTTGCCAAAATCTGACTCTAATATTCTTTTCTATATATTACTACTACCACTGGGGTACAAGACAAATTGCTTGTTCTCATAGAGGACTATTAAGGAGAATGGGAGACAAATATGTCATGGAAAATTCAGACTCATATGATAATTTTTCTCTAATTGCAGGAAGTACAAGTTTTTTAAGAGCACAGTGCAGGGAGACAGTCAAGGTAAGGTTTGGACTGAGCTCTAAGGAATGAATAGGAATTTCCCAGGATTGAGGAGTAAGAAGGCAATTCCACAAACATACCTATACCAGCAGATACAATGATGTTAATTTCTAGGCAATTTAGTTACTTTATTAGAGAAAAATGGTGTAGTTAAGTCATACCTTCTGAGAAGTCAGGCAATATCATGACTTTTGTTTATATTCTCTCCCACAATGAAGAAAATCATAGTTCAATACCGGTGCTGCTCATATAGGATGAATAGACATACATGCCAATTTCTCTCTTCACCACCTCTTTATTTCAGTATTTCTATCATATATATAATTACTAGAAAATTTTCCTAGTATATCTAGGGTATACACCTCCATATAACATATTTAGTGGTCCTCTCATCAGTTTAGAAAGCTCAGATAAATTGTTCTGTTTTAAAGAAATCTATTATTATTCATTCAACAGAAAAGTGACAGAAAATGCCCAAAGCAAGGAAAGAACAGGAAAGTGAGAAAGCCTGGTTGGCAAGAATTTGTGGAGACCCTAGAGAGGCTTCCGAGTGTAGGAAAGGATAAGTGAGTGACCCCAGTGGTCTGCATTCCTACTGTAGACTCCTGCCTCCCAGCCACAGCAAAGTCCCTAAACCCTCAAGAGCCCAAGAATAACATAGGAAACTGCCTGGAAACTGGGCAAAGGCATTGCTTCAAGGATCAAGATCACATTGGGTCCCACACACCCCCTGAGCCGTAAGCAATTATATAGCATGATGCCTTCCTGAGAACCCAGCCCCCACCAGGCTGCATCCTGACTGGGAGCCCAACAGTCCCTGCACCTCCACATCTCTGGAGGCCCACTGATATTGCCCACCCTCAGTCACCACCACGATCGGCTGTTGCCATCAAGGTTGAAGTGCAAACCACTGGCAAAAAACCCCTTATCTACAGCAGTGAAGCCACCATGTATTTTCATGCACCCCAAGGATAAATTCCCCTGCCTCCAGCAGCTTCCACTGCAGGCTGCTGCTGCTGCTTGGGATGAAGAGCAAGTGAAGTACACGCTTGGCAGCATCCTTTATTAGGCTACTTTCATTGAAGGCAATCCTGGCCTCTCCAGCAGCAAACCTATAGTACAGCCACTACCTCCCCCACCTAAGCATTCTGTCTTGGCCTGGGGGTCACCCCATCCCTGTCTAGCAAAGTCAGTCTCTGCAGGCACCATCAGGGGCCTGAAGACAAATCTGACTCTCTTGACTCCACCCCTTGGTGTCTGAGAACTCTATCCAAGAGCCTGGGGTTCACTCAGCCCAGCTTACCATTGTTGGCAGCTCAGCACTTCTCCCAGAGGCCTGAAGTCAGGTCCACCCAACCTGTCATTACCACCACAGCTGGCACCCATCCAGACATACGACTTGTAGGCCCAGGGACTGGCCCACTCAGCCCATCATAGCTACTGCTAACAATAACATGGACCACTTGGGACCCAGAGGTAAGTCCTACCACTGCTACTGCCATTGCCCATGCCACACCTACTGCCCAGGGTCTTGAGAACCTGCCTGCTCACCTGGCCACCTACTGCCACTATCAAGCAAGTTACCTGGAGGCACAAAAATTGGCCAGCCTGGATTCATTAATACTGGTGCCAGCACACACTGTCCTAGTGGCCAAGGACAGGCATACTCAGCTCAGTGCTGCCACCAGTGGGGATTGAGGACAGGCTAACTGGGCATCCTGTAACCAGCAAAACTTAACCACAGCCTCTACTAACAACTGCACCCTAAGCCACTGAGGAAATTGCAGACACCACTGTCACTATTTACAGCTGAGGAAATCATATGGGGACCACAATACTATATGTACCCAAAATCCAAACCAAAGAGCCCTACCCAAATAACATCATAGATACCTATTCAGGAAAAAGTCCTCCCCATGAAAGCAAATTCAAATAATTGGAAGAAATGACTATTATGCCAGATGTATGGATATCAATGTAAGAACACAAGAAATATGAAGAAGCAAGAAAATATGACACCTCTACAGAAACAGAATAATTATCCAGCAAGACATTCCAGTCAGAAAGAAATATATAAAATCCCAGGAAAAATTAAAATATGATATTAATGAAGCTGAGTGAGAAACAAGAGAATACAGAAAAAACAATATAAATACCTAAAAGAAAATCAAGATATGAATGAGGGATTTACCAAAAAGATATCATAAAATCAAACAACGACAACAAAAAAAAACCCTCAGAAATTCTGGAATTAAAGAATTTATTGAATGAAATACAAAATGTATTCAAAAGCTTCAAAAATACATTGGATCAAGAATAAGAAAGAATTTCAGAACTTGAAGCCAGGCCTTTTAAAATAGTCTAGTCATACAAAAATTAATAAAAAACAACACAAAAAAGAATGAACAAAACTTCCATGATATATGGGACACCATAACGTAACCAAATGTTTGAATTTTTGGTGTCCCAGGAGGCAAAGAGGAAATGAAGGGATAAAAACCTATTTGAGAAAATAATAACTGAGAAGGAACCAAGATGGCTGACCAGACATGGCCAGGAAGAGCATCTCGCACGGAGAGACTGAACTTCAAGAAAGTTGGCACACTCCAAGCAGATCTTCAGAAGAAAGGCATTTAGAGTGGATGAAGGGAGGATGCAGATCCTGGGCTGAAGGAAGAGGAAGCTGGGAACCCTGAACAAGGCTGCTGAGCACCAGGACTCATTCATGCCGCCCAGCAGCTCCTGAGGAAAGGGTGAGTTAGATAGGTGAAGAGTGGCCCACTCTCACCATGGACCTCTGGAATTCTAGCTGCAGGAGACTCTACAAACCCCACGGACATATGAGTTGACAAACAGAGCTGTTTGGGAAAGTGGCAGGGACATGACTCAAGCCTGTGCAGAGCCCAAAGTGTTTGGTGAGGAGAATGGCTACATTGGAGCATGGCCTGGGATGCCCATCCCCTGAGGCTTGCCATGCTCCTATACATGGCTTTGGCTTTTGTTGAAGGTTGGACCTAGGTACAGCAGAGCAGTCTAGCCCATGGTATGGGGCCAGTCTGATTTGAGCACCTCTCTGTCTGTCGGCCTCCCCCAGGGTCCCTACCTGGTCACACCCACTTGCAGTGCAGCCTTAGATGTCTGACAGAAGTGCTTCCCAGTGGCTGCTGCCATAGTGCTCCTTTGCCGGCAGACTGTGCCTAACTATTGGACAGCCCCAGCAGATGGTATTTCACTGATATGCACCCACCCACCTACATCCCCGCCACACTGCAACCTCTCCCCACTGCTTTGCCAACACATGTGTGAAGGTGAAATTCATTGCCTTGCCCCCACTGGTACACACATTCACTCTGCTTCTGTCAGCACCTCATCCCCACTGATGTGATGTTCCATTCTTTTGCTGCTGGCATGCACGCACAAGTGTAGACATTGCTGCCCCACTCCAGTGAAGTGCTTCACTGGGCACCTCCCCCATTGGAGAATTGTGACCAGCAGAAACACCTCAGCTCCTCCTCCAGTGCAGCAAGTATGTAACATCAAGGAGCCAGAGAAAAAAGCCATGGTCCCAGCCCCCCAAGTTTAGAGCACGCAGTCCAGGAGTGCTAAGCTGAGCCTTGGCCCCATGAAATCTTCCAGAAGTGAAACCAGTCAACTGAACCTACCTTATTCCACAGTCAAACCCTTAAGGGCAAAAGAGAGTATAGAAGCAAAGAAACCAAGCCAAAGGATACCAAATTCAAAGATGAAAGGAATACCAGCCCAAACAGATGGGAAAGAACCAAGTGTAGAAACTCTGGCAATTCAAAAATTCAAAGTGTCCTCTCACCTCCAGACAACCACACTAGATTACAAAGAATGGTTCTTAACCAGTCTGAAATGGCTGAAATGATAGACATAGAATTCAAAATCTTGATAGGAATGAAGATCACTGAGATTCAAGAGAAAGTCAAAACCCAATCCAAGGAATCCAATAAAGAGATGAAAGATGAAATAACCGTTTTATGAAAGAACCAAGCTGATCTAATAGAGATTTTATGATTGAATTTTATAATAATAATATAGTTTTATGATACAATTAGAAGTGTAACAGCAGAATAGACCAAGCTGAAGAAAGACTCTCAGAGCTCAGACTGTTTTTTTTTAATCAATTTAGTGTGACATAAATAAAGAATAGAAACAAATGAACAAAACCTCTGAGAAATATGGCATTATGTAGAGACACTGAACTTATGACCAACTGGCATTCCTGAAAGAGATGGACAGAGAGCAGACAATTTGAAAAATATATTTGAGGATATTGTCCGTGATATTTCCCCAACATCACTATAGAGGTTAATACTCAAATTCAGAAAATTAAGAGAACCCCTTTGAGATTCTATACAAGATGAGTATCACCAAGACACTCAGTCATCATATTCTCCAAGGACAATGTGAAAGAAAAAGTATTAAAGACAACTAGAGAGAAGTGGAAGGTCAACAAAAAAGGGAAGCCCATTTTTTTTTTCCAAAAAAAAAAAAAAAGAAATTCCAGCTGGTAATTTTGTATCCAGCCAAACTAAGCTTCATATGTGAATGAGAAATAAGACCCTTTTCAGATGAGCAAATGCTAAGATAATTTATTATCACTAGACAAGCCTTACAAGTGGTCCTTAAGGGAGTGCTAAACAGAAATGAAAGATGGTTTCCAGCCACCACAAAAACACACTTTTGTACATAGACCATTGACACTATTAAGTGACTACAAAATTAAGTCTCTGTAACAACCAGCTAACAACACAATGATGGAATCAAATCTGCACATATCAATATTAACCTTGAATGTAAATGGGTTAGATGTCCCATTTTAAAGGCACAGAGTGGCAATTTGGATAAAGAAGAAAGACAAAACTGTCTGCTGTCTTCAAGAGACTCATCTGACATGCAAAGACATCTGTAGCCTCAAAGTAAAGAAATGGGAAAACACTCAATAAGCAAATGAAAAACATAAGAAAGCAAGGGTTGTTATTTTAATTCCAGACAAGACACATATTAAAACAATACTGCTCAAAAAAGACCAGGAACGGTATTACATTACAATAATGGGTTCAATTCAGCAAGAAGACTTAATTATATTATATATATGAACACAACACTGGAGAACCCAGATTTATGAAACAAGTTCTTAGAGACCTACAAAGAGACTTAGATAACCACACAATAATAGTGAGAGACTTCAACACCCCACCTACAATATTAGACAGACCATCAATGCAGAAAACTGACAAAGATATTTAGAACCTGAACTCGACACTTGATCATATGGACCTAACATCACCCGCAGAACACTCCAACCAACAATAGAAAATACATTGTTCTTATCTGGACATGGTACATAACTTAAAATTTACCACACAATCAGCCATAAAACAATATCCACAAATTTATAAAAGCCAAAATCACACCAATCATACTTTCAGATCATAGTGCAATAAAAATAGAAATCGATAGTAAGAAGAGTTCTCAAAACCACACAATGATATGGAAATAAAACAGACACCTTCTAAATGACTTTATAGTA
This sequence comes from Homo sapiens, assembly GCF_000001405.40. Lineage (NCBI taxonomy): Eukaryota > Metazoa > Chordata > Mammalia > Primates > Hominidae > Homo > Homo sapiens. The sequence goes on along the minus strand of NC_000002.12, from coordinate 103,731,217 downwards.
ACAATAAAATTAAGTTAGAAATCAATAATTATTTAAAACTAAAGAAACCAAAGATACAACATACCATAATCTCTGGCACACAGCTAAAGCTGGGTTAAGAGAAAAGCTTGTAGTGCTAAAATCGTACATCAAAAAGTCAGAAAAATTGGTTTATGTGTCTGTTTTTGTACCAGTACCATGCTGTTTTGGTTACTATAGCCTTGTAGCACAGTTTGAAGTTGGGTAGCATGATGTCTCCAGCTTTGTTCTTTATGCTTAGGATTGTGTTGGCTATGTGAGCTATTTTTGGTTTCATATGAATTTTAAAATAGTTTCTTCTAATTCTGTAAACAATGTCAAGCATAGTTTAATAGGAATAGCATTGAATCTATAAATTACTTTGGGCAGTATGGCCATTTTCACAATATTGATTCTTCCTATCCATAAGCATGGAATGTTTTTCCATTTGTTTTTGTCCTCTCTGATTTCCTTGAGCAGTGGTTTGTAGCTCTCTTCAAGGAGGTCCTTCATTTCCCTTGTTAGCTGTATTCTCAGGTATTTTATTCTCTTTCTAGCAATAATGAATGGGAGTTCATTCATTATTTGGCTCTGTGCTTGACTGCTGTTGGTGCATAGAAATGCTTGTGACTTTTGCACATTGATTTTATAAAATCATAGAGACTTTGCTGAAGTTGCTTATAAGCTTAAGAAGATTTGGGGCTGAAATGATGAGGTTTTCTAAATATTGGATCATGCCATCTGAAAAGACAATTTGACTGCCTCTCTTCTTATTTGAATACCCTTTCTTTCTTTCTGTAGCCTGATTGCCATGGCCAGAACTTCCAATACTATGTTGACTAGCAGTGGTGAGAGAGGGCATCCTTGTCTTGTGCCAGTTTTCAAGGGGAGTGCTTCTAGCTTTTGCTCATCAGTATATTGGCTGTGGGTTTGTCATAATGGTTCTCACTATTTTGAGGTAAGTTTCTTCAATACCTAGGTTATGGAGAGTTTTTAACATGAAGGGATGTTGAATTTTGTTGAAGACCTTTTCTGTGTCTATTGAAATAATCATGAAGTTTTTGTCTTTAGATCTGTTTATGTGATGAATTACATTTATTGATTTGTGTATGTTGAACCACCCTTGGATGAAGCCAACTTGATGGTGGTGGATAAACTTTTTGGTGTGCTACTATATTCAGTTTGTCAGAATTTTATTGAGACTTTTTGCATCAATGTTCATCAGGAATATTGGCCCGAAGTTTTCTTTTTCTTTCTTTCTTTCTTTCTTTCTTTCTTTCTTTCTTTCTTTCTTTCTTTCTTTCCTTTCTTTCTTTCTTTCTCTCTCTGTCTTTCTTTCTTTCTTTCCTTCTTTCTTTTGTTTTCTTTTTTTTTGTTGTTGTATCTCTACCAGCTTTTGGTTTCAGGATGATGCTGACTTCATAGAATGAGTTAGGAAGGAGTTCCTCTTTTATAATTGTTTGGAATAGTTTCAGAAGAAAGAGTATTAGCTCCTCTTTGCATCCAACGGAACAAAATAGAGAACTCGAAAAAAGACTGCACATCTACAACCATCTGATCTTTGACAAACCTGACAAAAACAAGCAATGGGGAAAGGATTCCCTACTTAATAAATTGTGCTGGGTAAGCTGGCTAGCCATATGCAGAAAATTGAAACTGAATCCCTTCCTTACATCTTACACAAAAATTAACTCAAGATGAATTAAAGGCTTAAATATAAAACCCAAAACTATAAAAACCCTAGGAGAAAATCTAGACAAAACCATTTAGGACATAGGCAAGTGAGAAGAGTTCATGATGAAATTGCCAAAAGCAATTGCCACAAAAGTAAAAATTGACAAATGGTATCTAATTAAACTAAAAAACTCCTGCACAGCAAAAGAGACTATTATCAGAGTAAACGGGCCACCTACAGAGTGGAAGAAAACTTTTGTAATCTATCCTTCTGACAAAGGCTTAATATCCAGAATCGACAAGGAATTTAAACAAGAACCTCAACTTTACAAGAAAAAAATAATACCATTAAAAAGTGGGCAAAGGACATGAACAGACACTTCTCAAAAGAAGACATGAATGTGACCAAAAGACATATGAAAAAAAGCTCAACATCACTGATCATTAGAGAAATGCAAATCAAAATCCCAATGATATACCATCTCACACCAGTCAGACTATTTATTATCAAAACGTCAAAAAACAACAGATGCTGGTGAGGTCGCGGAGAAATAGGAATGCTTTTACACTATTGGTGGGAATGTAAATTAGTTCAGCCATTGTGGAAGACAGTATAGCGATTCCTTAAAGATCTAGAACCAGAAATATCATTGGACCCAGCAATCTCATTACTGGGTATATACCCAAAGAATATAAATCATTCTATTACAAAGATACATGCATGTGTATGTTCATTGCAGCACTAAGTACAATAGCATAGACATGGAATCAACCCCAATGCCAATAAATGATAGACTGGATAAAGAAAATGTGGTACATATACATCATGGAATACTATGCAGACATGAAAAAAAAGATTAGGTCCTTTGCAGGGACATGGATGGAGCTGGAAGCCATTATCCATAGCAGACTAACACAGGAACAGAAAACCAGACACTGCATATTCTAATTTATAAGTGGGAGCCGAACGATGAGAACACATGTACACATGGAGGGGAACAACCCACAATGGGGCCTGTTGGGAAGTTCTAGGGAGGGATAGTATTAGGATAAACAGCTAATGCACGTGGGGTTTAACACTTAAATAATGGGTTGATAGGTGTGGCAAACCACCGTGGCACACATTTACCTACATAACAAACCTGCACATCCTGCAAATGTACCCCAGAACTTAAAAATAAAAATAAAAAAGTGAAGAAAATCTCAAATTAACAACCTGATGTCATAACTAGAGGAAGTAGAAAAAAAGAGCAAACCAACCTCAAAGCTAGCAGAAGAAAGGATAATCAAAATCAGAGCTCAAGTAAATGAAATTGAGACATGAAAAACCATACAAAAGATCAGCAAAACCCAAAGTTCATTTTTTGAAAGAATAAATACGAGTGATGGATTGCTAGCTAGCTTAATAAAGAAAAAACAAAATAATCAAATAAAATTAGAAACGTCAAAGGGAACATTACCACCAGCACAACAGAAATACAAGAACCTTTCAGTAACTATTATGAGCAATGCTATGCCTACAAACTAGAAAACCTAGTATAAAGAGATAAATTCCTAGAAACATAAAACCTCCTAAGATTGAACCAGGAAAAAAAATTGAAATTCTGAATAAACCAGTAATGAGATCTGAAATTGATTGAGTAATAAAAAGCCTAGCAACCAAAAAAAGGCCTGGACCAGATGGATTCACAGCTGAATTCTACTAGATTTATCAAGAAGAGTTTGTATTAATCCTACTAAAACTATTTTGAAAAGTTGAGGAGGAGGGATTCCTCTCTAACTCATTCTTTGAGACCGGCATCATTCTGATATCAAAACCTGGTAGAGACAACAAGAACAGAAAACATCAGGCAAATATTCATTATGAACATAGTTACAAAAATCTTCAATAAAATACTAGCAGACGAAATTCGGCAGCACGTCGAAAAGCTGTTCCACCAAGATCAAGTAGGCTTTATTCGAGGTTTGCAATTTTGGTTCAACATACACAAATCGATAAATGTGATTCATCACATAAACAGAACTAAAAACAAAAAACCATATGATCGTCTCAATAGACACAGAAAAGGCTTTAGACAAAACTCAACATTTCTTCATGTTATAAACCTTCGACAAACTAGAAATCGAAGAAACATGCTTTAAAAAAAGCCATCTATGACAAACCCACAGTCATCATCAAAGTGAGTGGGCAAAGCTGGAAGTGTTCCTCTTAAGATCCAGAACAAGGATGCCCACTATCACCACTCCTACTCAACATAACACTGGAAGTCCTAGTCAGAGTAATTAGTCAAGAGAGATAAGTAAAAAGCATCCAAATATGAAGAGAGGAAGTCAAAATATCTCTCCTCACAGACAATATAATTTTATACGTAGAAACCCCCAGTCTCTACCCAAAAATTCCTTGATCTGATTAACTTTAGCAAAGTTTCAGGATACAAAATCAATGTACAAAATGAGTAGCATTTGTATACACTAACGACGTTCATACTGAGAACCAAATCAAGAATTCAATCTCAGTCACAACACACACACACGTGCACACACACACACACCCCTAGGAAAACAACTAAACAGGGAAGTGAAAGAGCTCTACAATGAGAATGACAAAACACTGCTGAAAGAAGTCAGAGATGACACAACAAATGAAAAAACATCTGATGCTCATGATAGGAAGAAAAGATATTGTTAAAATGGCCATACGGCCTAAAGCAATTTATTAATACAGTGGTATTCCTATCAAAATACCAAAAACTATTTTCATAGAATTAGAAAAACACTATCCTAAAATTTACATCCCATTTCTTTTAGTTCTTTCTTGGGAACTCCCGAATAGCCAAAGCAATCCTACGTGAAAAGAACAAAGCCAGAGGCATCACATTACCTGACTTCAAACTACACAAGAAGGCTACAGTAACCAAGACAGCATGATAGTGATACAAAAGAGACTCATAGACCAAGGGAACGGAATACAGAACCCAGAAATAATGTTGAACACCTTCAACCATCTGATCTTTGACAAAATCAACATAAACAGGAAAAAGGCAAAAGGACACCCTATTCAATAAATGGTCCTGGGATAACTGGCTAGCCATACACAGAAGATTGAAACTTTTTTTCACTATACATGAAAATAAAATCAACATGGATTAAAGACTTAAATGTGAAGCCCAAAACAATAAAAGCCATAGAGGAAAACCTAGGAAATACTGTTCTGAAAATAAGCCTTGGCAAAGGATTTATGACTAAGTTCTGAAAAGCAATTGAAACAAAACCAAAAATTGACAAGTGAGACCTAATTAAACTAAAGGGCTTCTGTACAACAAGAGAAACTATCAACAGAATAAATAGACCACCTACAGAATGGGAGAAAATATTTGCAAACTATGCATTCAACAAAGGTCTAATATGCAGAATATATAATGAACTTAAACAAATTAACAAGGAAAATCAAACAACCTCATTAAAAATTGGGAAAAAGACATGAACAGATACTTCTCAAAAGAAGACATCACACAGCCAACAAGCATATGAAAAAAATGCTCAACAGGACCACTCATTAGAGAAATGCAAATCAAAATCACAATGAGATAACATTTCACACTAGACAGAATGGCTATTAATGAAAAGTCAAAAAATAACATGCTGGTGAGATTGTAGGGAAAAGGGAATGCTTATACACTGCTGGTAGGAACACAAATTAGTTCATCCACTGTGGAAAGCAGTTTGATTTTTCAAAGAACTGAAAACAGAACTACCATTTGACCCAGCAATCTCATTCCTGGGTATATATTCAAAGAAATATAAGTCGTTCTAACATAAAAACACATGCATGTCTATATTCATCACCAGCTGTTCCCAAAAACAAAGACATAGAAACTAGGTGCCCATCAACAGTGGATTGGATAAAGCAAATGTGGTACATATACACCATGAAATATTACGTAGCCCTAAAACAGAATGAGACCACGTCCTTTGCAGCAACATGAGGGGAGCTGGAGGCCATTATCCTAAGCAAATTAACATAGGAACAGAAAACCAAATACTGCATATTCTCACTTATAAGTGGGATCTAAACATTCAGAACACATGAACACAAAAAAAGTTACGATAGAAACTGGGACCTACTTAAGAGTGGAGGAGTGTGAATATAGAAAAAATGCCTATTTGGTACTATACTTATTGTATGGTAATGAAATAATCCACACATCAAACCCCCTCAACATGTAATTTATCCGTATAACAAGCTTGCATTTATATGCTCTACATCTAAAATAAAAGTTGAAAAAATAAAGTCAAATTAAATCTGAAAACTTCCAAGATTTAGCTAAAGATTTAAACAAAGCCGGGAAGTCCTCAAACAGATACCAAGAAAAATGTCTCCATGACACATTATGGTCAAACTGTCAAAAGTCTAAGACAAAGAGAGAACTCTGAAAACAGAAAGAGAAAAGCATCTAGTGACTTATCAGGAACTCCCTTCAGATTAACAGTCAATTGATTTATCAGCAGGGATCTTACAAGCTGGGAGAAAATGAGATAATATTTTCAAAGTTTTAAAAAGACAATATCTATCTGCCAAAGATACTATATTCACCAAAGTTGTCCTTCACAAATGAAGGGAAAATAACATTTTTCCAAGACAGGAAAATCTGAGGGATTTTGTCACCTCTATCTAGACTGGCCCAGCAAGAAAATCTTAAGGGAGTCCTATACCTGGAAGCCAAAGGACAATATCTAATTATTACAAAAAGACATGAAAGTCTACAAACCCACTAGAGGAGAAAACACACAAATGAGGAAAAGACTCATGTGAGACTGCTACAGAAAACCACTGTATTAGTCCATTCTTGCACTGCTATAGAGAGATACCTGAAACCGAGTAATGTGTAAAGGAAAGAATTGGCTTAACTGACTCATGGTTTCACAGGCTGTACAGGAAGCATGATGGCTTCTGGGAAGACCTTGGAAACTTTCAATCATGGTGGAAGGCCAAGGGGAAGCAGGTAAATCTTTCATGGCTAGAGCAGGAGGAAGAGAGAGAGGGGGGAGGTGCTACACAGTTTTCAACAACCAGATCACACGATAACTCACTCACTCTCATGAGAACAGCACCAAAAGGGAAATCTGCCCCCATGATCCAATCACCTCCACCAGGCCCCACCTCCATCGCTATGGATTACAATTTGACATGAGATTTGGGTGGGGACCCAGACCCAAACCACAGTAATAATAGGAGAGAGAGAAAGAAACAAGTGGTAGACAAAACAAGTAGAAGTCAATTAACAAAATAATTGGAATAAGCCCTCCTATATCAATAATAAGCTTGAATGTAACAGATTAAACATTCCACTTAAAATATATAGACTGGCTAGTAAGTGGAAAACAAAAATGAAAACATTATTCAACTCTGTGCTGCCTTATAAGAAACTCATTTCACCTGTAAAGACATATGTAGGCTCAAAGAAAGATGGAAAAAGATATTTTATGCAAATGTAAAATAAAAGTAAGTATAAGTAGCTATATTTATGTCAGATAAAACAGACCTTAAGTCAAAATGGTAAAAAGAGACAAAGAAGGTGATTATACAATGAAAAAGGGATCAATTAAGCCAGAAAATATAACTATCCTGGACATGTAGGCATCCATCGCCAGAATATCAATATATGTAAAGCAAATATTGTGAGATCTAAAGAGAAAAATAGACTCAAAACAATAATTGTGGGGGATTTCAACACCCCAAACTCAGCATTAGACACATTACCTAGACAGGAAATCAATGAAACATTGAATTTAAATTGCACATTAGACCAAATGGACCTAAAAGACATTTACAGCATATTTAATCCAAAATTACAGTATACACATTCTTCTCATCACCACATGGAACATTTTCAAAGATATACCATATGTTAGGACACAAAAGAAGTCCCAACAAATGTTTTACAAATCAAAATCATGTCAAGTATTTTCTCAGGCAACAATAAAAAATAATCTAGAAATCAATAACAACGGGAACTTTGGAAACTGTGTAAATATGTGTAAATTAAACAAGATGTCCCTGAATGGCAATTAGTTCAATGAAAAAATTAAGGAGAAAATTATTAACAATTTTTTGGAACATATGAATATCAAAACACAGAGACCAAAACCTATGAGATATAGCAAAAGTATGCTAAGATGGGACTTTATAGAAACTTACATGTAATTAAATTTAAAATGTAGAAACATTGCATTTTTTGTCTTATTTTTTCTATTTCTTTAACCTTTATTTTAGGTTCAGGGGTACACATGCAGGTTTATTACATAGGTAAATTTGGGTCACAGGTAGTTGTTGTATAGATTATTTCATCACCCAGGTACTAGGCTTAGTACCCAGAAGATATTTTTCTGATCTTCTTCCTCCTGCCACCCTCCACCCTCAAGTAGGCCCCAGTCTCTGCTGTTCACCTATATGTATCCATGTGTTTTCATCATTTACCTCCCACTTAAAAGTGAGAACATGCAGTATTTGATTTTCTGTTCCTGCATTGTAAGTTGCTAAGGATAATGGCCTCCAACTTCATCCATGTTCCTGCAAAGGACATGATCTCATTCTTTTTTATGACTGTAGAGTATACCATGGTATATACATATCACATTTTCTTTATCCACTCTACCATTGATGGGCATTTGTGCTGATTCCATGTCTTTGCTATTGTGAATAGTGCTGCAGTGAACATATGTGTGCATGTGTCTTTTGATGGAACAATTTATATTGCTGTATTAGGGTTCTCTAGAGAGGCAGGACTAATAGGATAGATGTATACATGACAGGGGGTTTATTAAGGAGTATTGTCTCACATGATTACATGGTGAAGTCCCACAATAGGCTGTCTGCAAGCTGAGGAGCAAGAAAGCAAGTCTGAGCCCTCAAACCTCAAAATTTGGGAAGCTGACAGTGCAGCCTTCAGTCTGTGTCCAAAGACCTGTAAGCCTCTGGCGAACCACAAGTGTAATTCCAAAGTCCAAAAGCTGAACAACCTGGAGTCCACTGTTTGAGTGTAGGAAGCATCTAGCACAGGAGGAAGATGGAGACCAAAGACTTAGCCAGTTTAGTCCTTCCATGTTCCTCAGGCTGCTTTTATCCTAGCCACACTGGCAATTCATTATATCATGGCCACCCAGATTGAGGGTGGGTCTGCCTCTCCTAGTTCACTGACTCAAATGTTAATCTCCTTTGGCAACACCCTCATAGACACACACAGGAACTATACTTTCCATCCTTCAATCCAATCAAGTTGACACTCAATATTAACCATCACAATTCCTTTGGGTATATACCCAGTAATGAGATTGCTGGGTCAAATGGTAGTTCTGTTTTTAGCTACTTGAGGAATCACCACACTGCTTTCCACAATGGTTGAATTAATTTACACTACCACCAACAGTTTGAAAGCATTCCCTTTTCTCTGCAACCTCACAAGATTCTGTTATTGTTTGAAATTTTCATTATAGTCATTTTGACTCGAGTGAGATAGTATCTCATTGTGGTTTTGATTTGTATTTCTCTAATGGTCAGTCTTATTGAGCTTTTTAAAATATGCTTTTTGGCCACATGTATGTCTTCTTTTGAAAAGTGTTAATGTTCTTTGCCCAGTTTTTAATGAGTTTGTTTTTTCTTATAAATTTAAGTTCCTTAATGATCCTGGATGTTAGACCTTTATCAGATACATAATTTGCAAATATTTTCTCCCACTGTGTAGGTTGTCTGTTTACTCTGTTGAAAATTTCTTTTTCTGGGCAGAAGTTCTTAAACTTAACTAGACCTCGTTTGTCAATTTTTGATTTTGTTGAAGTTGCTTTTGATGTATTCGTCATGAAATCTTTGCCAATTCCTATGTCCAGAATGGTATCACCTAGGTTGTCTTCCATAGTTTTTATACTCTTGGGGTTTACATCAAGGTTGTTACACCATCTTTGTATATGGTGTAATGAAGAGGCCCAGTTTTAATTTTCTGCATATGGCTAGCCAGGTATCTTACCACCATTAATCGAATAGGGAGACCTCTCTCCATTGCTTGCTTTTGTCAGCTTTGTGAAAGACCAGATGGCTTAGGTGTGTGCCCTTATTCCTGGGCTCACTGTTCTGTTCCATTGGTCTATATGCCTCTTTTTGTACCATTACCATGCTCTTTTGGTTACTGTAGCCCTGTAGTATAGTTTGAAGTCAGGTAACATGAGGCCTCCAACTCTATTCTTTTTGCTCAGGATTTCTTTGGCTATTTGGCCTCTCTGGTTTCACATGAATTTTAAAATAGTTTTTTTCAAATTCCATGAAGAATGTCATTGGTAATTTGCTAGAAACAGTATTACATCTGTAAATTGCTTTGGGCAGTATGGCATTTTAATGATATTGATTTTTTCCTATCAGTGAACATGGGATGTTTCTCTATCTGTTTGTGTCATGTCTGATTTCTTTAAGCAGTGCTTTGTAATTCTCATTGTAGAGATCTTTCACCTCCCTGGTGAGCTGTATTCCTTGGTATTTTATTCTTTTTGTGGAAATTGTACACAGGATTGTATTCCTGATTTGGCTCTCAGCCTGGCTGTTGTTTTTGTGTAAGAATACTAGTGATTTTTGTACGTTGACTTTGTGTCATGAGATTTTGCTGAAATTGTTTATCTGCTGAAGGAGATTTTGAGCCAAAACTATAGGGTTTACCAGATATAGAATCATGTAATCTTAAAATAAATATTTTGACTTTCTTTCTCTTATTTGGATGCCCATTATTTCTTTCTCTTTTCTGGTTGCTCTGGCCAGGGCTTCCAATATTATGTTGTATAAGAGTAATGAGAGAGGGCATACTTGTCTTGTACCGGTCTTGAAGGGCAATGCTTCCAGCTTTTGCCCATTCAGTACGATGTTGGCTGTGGGCTTTTCATAGATGCCTCTCAAGATTTTGATGTATACTTCTCAATATCTCGTTTATTGAGAGTTTTTATCATGAAGGGATGCTGAATTTCCTTGAATGCCTTTTCTGCATCTTTTGAGATAATCATAAGGTTTTTGTATTTAGTTCTGTTTATGTGATGAATAACATTTATTGATTTGCCTATGTTGAACAAACCATGCATCCCAGAAATAAAGCCTACTTGATGGTATTAGACTAGATTTTTGATGTGCTGATGGATTCGGTTTGCAAGTATTTTGTTGAGTATTTTTGCATCAATGTTCTTCAAGGATGTTGGCGTGAAGTTTTCTTTTTTTTTTTTCCCCTGCTGGATTTTGGTATCAGGGTGATACTAGCCTCACAGAATGAATGGGGGAGGAGTTCTTCCTACTAATTTTTTGAAATAGTTTCAGTAGGAATGGTACCAGTTGTTCTTTGTATATCTGGTAGAATTCATGGATGAATTTGTCTAGTTCTGGATTTTTTTTTGGTTGGTAGGTTATTTATTACTGATTCAATTTCAGAGCCTGTTACTGGTCTGTTCAGAGAATTAATTTCTTCCTGGTTCAATCTTGGGATGGTGTGTGTTTCTAGGAATTTATTCATCTCTTCTAGGTTTTATGGTTTGTGTGCATAGAGCGGTTTCTAGTAGTCTCTGTTGGTTGTACTTCTGTTGGGTCAGTGGTAACATCCCTTTTGTCATTTCTAATTGTGTTTATTTGGATCTTCTCTCCTTTCTTCTTTATCAGTCTAGCTAGTAGCCTATCTATCTTACTAATTTTTTCTAAAAACCAACTCTTGGTTTAACTGAACTTTCAAATGATTTTTCATCTTTCAATCTCCTGTAGTTCGGCTCTGATTTTGGTTATTTCTTTTCTTCTGCTAGCTATGGCATTGGTTTGCTTTTGCTTCTCTAGATCTTTCAGTTGTAATGTTAGGTTAATTTGAGATCTTTCTAAGTTTCTTATATGGGCATTTAGTGCTATACATTTCCCTCTAAACACTGCCTTAGCTGTGTCCCAGAGATTCTGGCATGTTGTATCTTTGTTCTTATTAGTTTCAAAGAACTTCTTGATTCCAACTTTAATTTTATTATTTACCCCAAAGTCATCTGGGAGCAGGTTGTTTAATTTCCATGTAATTGCATGGTTTTGAGCAATTATTTTATTCTTGACTTCTATTTTTATCGTGCTCTGATCCAAACATAGATTTGGTATGATTTTGGTTTTTTTTTTTTTTTTTTGCATTTCCTGAGGATTGTTTTATGTCAGATTGTGTGGTCGATTTTAGAGTATGTGCCATATGTCAATGTGAAGAATGCATACTCTCTTGTTTTGGGATGTAGTGTTCTACAGAGTTCTATCAGATCCTTTTGGTCCAATGTTGAGTTCAGGTCCTGAATAACTCTGTTAATTTTCTTTCTCAATCAGTCTAATACTGTCAGTGGAGTATTTAAGAGTCTCAGTATTATTGTGTGGGATCCCAAGTCTCTTTGCACATCTCTAAAAACTTGCTCTATGAAACTGGGTGCTCCTGTGTTGGGTGTGTGTATATTTAGGACAGTTGGGTCTGCATGTTTGATGGAGCTCTTTACTAGCATATATGATGTCCTTCTTTTATTAATTTTCTTTGAACTTTGTTGGTTTTAAGTATGTTTTGTCTGAAATTAGGATTGTAGCCCCTGCTTTGTTCTGATTTCTCTTTGCTGGTGGATTTTTTTCCATTTCTTTCTTTTGAGTCTATGAATATCATTGCATGTGACATGGGTCTCTTGAAGACAGCATACCATTGGGTCTTGCTTTTTTATTCAGCTTAACACTTTGTGCCTTTTAAATGGCGCATTAAGCCCATTTATATTTAAGGTTACTAGTGATATGTGTGGATTTAACCTTGTCATGGTGTTTTTAGCTGGCTATTATGCTGGCTTGTTTGTGTGTTTGCTTCACAGTCTCATTCATCTGCGTACTTAAGTGTGTTTTTTTATTGGCTGGTAATAATCTTTCCTTTCCATATTTAGTGTTCCTTGAAAGATCTCTTGTAAGGCAGGTCTGGTGATAATAAACTCCCTCAGCATTTGCTTACCTGAAAAGGATCTTATTTATTCTTTGCAGAGAAAATTTAGTTTGGCTGAATATGAAATTTTTAATTTAAGATTGTTTTCTTTAAGAATGTTGAATATAGGCACCCAATCTTTTGTGGATTGTATAGTTTCTGCAGAGAGGTCTGCTGTTACCTTGATAGAATTCCCTATGTAGAAGATCTGACTTTTTTCTCTAGCTGCCTTTAACATCCTTTCTTTCATTTCAACCTTAAAAAAATCTAATAATTATGTGTCATGGGGATAATCTTTTTGCGTAAAATCTGCAGGAAATCTTTGTATTTCCTGAATTTGACTGTTGTTCTCTCTAACAAGATTGGGGAAATGTTTATGAATCATTTTCTGAAATATGTTTTCTAAGTTGTTTGCTTTGTCCCTGTCCTTTTTAGGGATGCCAATAATTCATAGATTTGGTCTGTATATCTAATCCCATATTTCTCAAAGGGTTTGCTTATTTTTTTTTTAATTCTTTTTTCTTTATTTCTGTCTGACTGTGTTATTTTGGAGAGGCAGTCTTCAAGTTCTGAGATTCTTTCCTCAGCTTCATTTATTCTGCTGTTGATACTGGCAATTGCATTGTGAAATTCTTATAGTTTGTTTTTCAGCTCTATCATATCAGTTAGCATATTTTTATATACTGACTGTTTCATGTCAGCACCAGCATCATTTCATTATGGTTCTTAGTTTTCTTATATTAAAATTTGCCATTCTTCTCAATCTTGATGATCTTCATTTCTATTCACATTCTGGATTCTATTTCTGTCATTTCAGCCAACTCAGACTGGATAAGAACCCTTGTGGGAGAACAACTGTGGTCATTTGAGGGACATAAGACACTCTGGCCATTTGAGTTGCTGGAGTTTTTGTGTTGGTTCTTTCTCATCTCTGCATGTTAGTACTCCTTTAACTACTGGGCTGCCTCTGATCTACGAGGTCAGACTGGAGCAGGGTCATTGTACTGGAGGTCCAGGTCAGGCAGGAACAGTCTGCCTACTTTTCTTTGAGGAGGGTACTCTGTGCTGGGGGTCTGAATCAGCCCCTGGTCCCCATGGGCTTTCCAGAGCCTGGAGACAGTAAGGGTGAGGGCTGTGAGACAGCAAAAATGGCAAAGGGGGCTTTATCCCAGGGAGTTGCAGAGCTGCTACTGGCTCCATAGCCTTAGAAGGGAGTGACTAGAGACTCAGTCTGGGAGAACCTACCCAGTGAGGAGATACAGAGGAGATACAGAAGTCCAGGTATCTAACAGACAGACTTGCCACTTTTTCATAAGGCTGCTACAGTATGCTGAGGGTCCGTCCATTCCAGTCCCTAGCTATCTTGGGTTTTCTAGCTTCTGAAGATATCAACAGTGAAGGCTGCAAAACAGCAAAGATGGTGGACTGCCCCTCTCTCTGGGAGCTCTATCCCAGGGAGGTTTGAAACTGCTCTTGTGCAGAAAACACTGGCAGGGGCTGCTAAACACCCTGGTTTGGAGGTCTTGATGAGTGAGAAAGAATGGGATTAGGCACTCAAACTAAAAATCACTCTTGCTGCTTTTTTTTTAAAGCAGTTGTGCTGTGTTGGGGGTCTGATTTAGCCTTCAGTCATTTCAGACTCTCCACTCCCAAAGGCAACAATGGCCAAGGCTTCAAAACAGCAAATACGGTAGCCAACACCCCCACACATACCTGTCCCCAGGAAGCTTCATCCCAAGGAGTTTTGAAACTGTTGCTTGCCAGAAACACTGGTGGTGTGGTTGCAGAGTTCAGTCAAGAAATTCTGCCCACTGAAGAGAAGTGGGTTCTGGAACTTGTTTGAAAAAGTAGTCTGGCCACTTCTCTGTAGAGCTGCTGGGCTATGTCTGCAGCTTGCTCCAGTTCCTAGTCATCTAGGAGTCCCTAGAGCCTGAAGACAACGAAGAATAAGGCTGTGAAACAGCAAATATGACAACCAATCTCTCCCCTGGGAGCTCTATCCCAGGGAGGCTCACAACCACTGCCAGCAGGAAAATACTGGCGAGGTTGGCTGGTGACCCCTGGTCAGGAGGTTCTGCCCAGTGAGGAGAAGCAGGGTTAGAGACTCGCGTGAAAATATGGTCTGGCCACTTTTTCACAGGGCAGCTGCACTGAAGGTAACAACAGCTAAGGTTGTGAACAGTAAAGATGGCAACCTCCCCTCCCACTCTGGGAGCTCCCTTCCAGGGTGGTGTAGAGCTGCTACCAGTGGGTGGCTGGAGTTCCAAGCCAGGACTCTTATTTTGGAAGCTTCAATGAAAGCAGGACCTACAGACTGTCACTGCTCAACCTTCTGGATTCAACCCCTTTACTAAGGGTATGTGACCTCCCACTTTGCTACAGTTCCAGCCACTTTTGCCAGGAAGCTCAGGTGTCTAAAGCTTCCAGGGCTTCACATGCAGAGCCTGGTGCTCTGCTGAGACTCCACATAGATTTGTGTGTTGGACTATCATCTTCATGGAGTGGGTTCACAAGGAGATCTCCTGACCTAAGAGTTGCAAAAATATGTGGGTCCCTAGGGTGGCACACTCACTTACCACTTCTCCTGGTGAGAGAGGCTCTCCTGGCTCCATGTTGCTCCCAGGTGGGCAGTCTGGCTGCCTTGCTTTTTTCTATTCTCCATTGGCTGAGTTGTGTTTTTGAGGATCCCAGTGCATGTACTTGAATGTTTCAGTTGAAAGTACTGTATTTACTCACTCCTTCTATTTCTTTTATCAGAGTGGCACACAGTAGCTGCTTCTAGTCAGCCAACTTGGCCAGCCTCCCAAAACATTTCAAATAAACTACTTAACAATGTACCTCAAGGAATTAGAAAAGCACAAACAAACCAAATCTCAAATAAATAGAAGGAAGAAAATTAAAAAGGTCATAACAAAAGTTAATGAAATAGAGACTAAAAAAATACAAAGGATGAACAAAACAAATGTTTGCTTTTTGAAAAAATAAAATCAATAAACCAAAAACTAGAGTAACCAAGCAAAAAAGAAAAGACCCAAAATTAAAGATAAAGAAGAGGACATTACAACGGATATCACAGAAGTACAAAAGATTATTTGAGACTACTATGAACAACTATATGCTCAGAAACTAGAAAACCTGTAGGAAATTAATAAATTCCTGGAAACATACAACCTGCCAAAATTGAATAAGGAAGAAATAGAAAAGTTGAACAGACCAATTACAAGTATTCAGATTGAATCAGCATTAAAAAGTCTCTCAACTAAGAAAAGTACAGGAGTAGATGGCTTCACTGAAAAATTCTACTAAACTTTCAAAGGTGAACCAATTCTCTTCAATCATTTAAAAAAATTAAAGAGGAGAAGAGTCTCCCTAACTCATTCTGTGAGGCCGGGATTACCTTGATTCCAAAACCAGACAAGTATGCAACAATGAAATCTATAGGCCAATATGCCTGATGCAGAATCCTCCTCATATACTAGAAAAATAAATCTAACAACACAAAAAAGATAATATAATATAACCAAGTGAGATTTATACCAGGGATGCAAGGATGGTTCAATATATGCAAATGAATAAATGTGATACATCTCATCAACAGGACAAAAACTTTATGATTGTCTCAATAGATGCAGAAGAAGCATTTTATACAATTCAACATCCCTTTGTGATAAAAACTCCCAACATACTAAGCATTGAATATGCATACCTCAATTTAATAAAGGCTATATATGACAAACTCACAGCTGACATCATACTAAATGGGGAAAAGCTGAAAGCCTTTCTTCTATGAACTAGAGCAAGACGAGGATGTCCACTTTCACCACTCTTATTCAACATAGTAATGAAAGCCCTGACTAGAGTAATAAGGCAAGAGAAAGAAAGAAAAGGTATCCAAATTGGAAAAGAGGAAGTCCAATTGTCCTTTTTGCAAATGATGCAATATTATGTCTAGAAAACTTAAAGACAGCACCAGAAAAACTCTTAGATCTGGTAAATAAATAGAGTATCAGAAAACAAAATCAACATAAGAAAAATCAGTAGCTTTTGTAAAAACTAATAATAAACTAGCTAAGAAAGAAATAAAAAAGGGAAACCTATTTTCAATTGCCACAAAAATAATAAAACACCTAGGAATAAATTTAACAAAAGAAGTGAAATATCTCTACAAGAAAAACCGCAAGACACTTATGAAAGAAAATGAAAAGGACATAAACAATGGGAAGACATTCCATGCTCATGAGTCAGAATAATTAATATTGTTAAGAGACCATGCTGCCTAAAGCAATCTATGGATTCAATGTAATCTGTACCAAAATACCAATGTCATGTTTAACAGAAATAGGAAAGAGCGTCCTAAAATATGCATTAAACAAAAAAAACAAAAGAGCCTCGATAGTGAAAACAATCCTAAGCAAAAAGAACAAAGCTAGAGGCATCACACTATCTAACTTCAAAATATATTGCAAGACCATAGTAACCCAAGCAACATGGTATTGGTATAAATATAGCCACATAGATCAATGAAAAAGAATAGACCACTCAGACAGAAATCCACATATTTATAGCCAACTGATTTTTGACAGAGGTGTGAGGAACACAGATTGGAGGAAATGACACCCACTTCAATAAATGGTGCTGAGATAATTGGATATCCATATGCAGAAGAATGAAACTAGATCCTTATCTCTCATCATATTAAAAAAGTCAACTGAAAATGAATTAAAGACTTAAATGCAAGAACTGAAACTATAAAACTACTTAGAAGAAAACATAGAGGAAGCACTTGAATATATTAGCCTAGGCAAAGATTTTATGACTAGGAACTCAAAAGCATGAACAACAAAACGAAAATAGATAAACGGGTGTATATTAAACTAAAAAGCCTCTATAAAGCAAAAAGAAAAAAAACAAGAAAAGAAAAAAAAAATAAAACACAATAAACAGGGTACAGAGACAACCTGTTGAATGGGAGAAAATATTCGCAAACTATTAATTCAAGAAGAAACTAATATCCACAATATACAAGAAACTCAAATGACTCAACAGTTTAAATTAAAAAAAATATCATTTAAAGAGGGCAAAGGCCATGAATAGCTATTCCTCAAGAGAGAGAAGCATACAAATGGCCAACAGGCATATGAAAAAAACATCACGCATCATCAGGGAAACGCAAATAAAAACCACAGTGAAATACCATCTTACTCCAGTCATTATGGCCATCATTAAAAAGATGAAAAAAATAGATGAAGACAAAGATGTGGAGAAAAAGGAAATCTTACACACTGTTGGATGAAATGTAAGTTAGTATAGCAATGGTGAAAAAGAGTCTGGAGATTTTTCAAAAAATTAAAAATAGAACTCACAAAACCAAATATAGATACTATTATTATTCAGCAGCCACACTACTTGGCATTAATCCACAGGAAAATAAATCAGTATGTAAAAGAGATACCTGATCTATTGCAGCAGTATTCACAATAGCGAATATATGGTATTAACCTAAATGCTCATCATCAAACAAATGGATAGTCTGGTATGTATACACAATGAAATACTATTCAGCCACCAAAATAATAAAATTCTGTCATTTGCAGCACCATGGATGGAGCTGGAGTTCATTATGTTAAGTGAAATAAGCCAAGCCCAGAAAGACAACTATTGTGTATTCTCATTCATATGTGGGAGCTAAAATTGTGGATCTTATGGAGGTAGAGAGTAGAATGAGAGATATCAGAGGCTAGGAAGGGTGTGTGTGGGGGTAGGGAGGGTAAAGAGACATTGATTAATGGCTATCAACATACAGTTAGAAGGATTAATTTCTAATGTTCGATAGCAGAGTAGAGTGACCATAGTTAAAAACAATGTGTTGTGTATTTCAAAATAGCTGGAAGAGAGGACTTGAAATATTACAAATACGTAGAAATGATAAATACTGTAGGTGATGGATAGTCCAAATACCCTGACTTGATTGCTACACATTCTATGCATGTAAAAAAATATCACATGTACCTCATACATACATACAAATTTAAAACTCTATTATTATTAGCAACATGTATATTTTGCCATTTTCTTCAACTTAATGCCATGAACTTTATTGTTTATTAACTTTGTATTATGAAAAATTTTCCAATGTGTACAAAAATAAATAAAGCAATATAATGAACTGTCATGTTCTGATTACCCAACAATTAATTCAAACAGTTAAAATTCAGTGTCAATATAGTTTTGTCCACACCTCCTTGCATTTCCCCCTTTTCATATGATTTCAGATCAAATTTCAGATAGTATTCAGTTCCATGAAAAAACTATTTCAAAATATTTTTTAAGGGAAAGAACTATTTTGAAGCATAACTACAATACAATAAACTTGAAATATCAACAATCATTCATTAATATATTTGTTTAGGCATTGGATGTTTATACCTGGTTTCACAAACATTTCAATATTGCAATTGATGGATAGGTCTCTTAAGTATTTTAATTTAACATTCTATTTTCACATTTTCTTTTGTCATTTGCATTTAATTTTTTTTAAAAAGCCATAATAAAAACAATTCATCACATGAACAAATCTAAAGACAACAATCCACATGATTATCTCAATAGACGCAGAAAAGGCCTTTGATAAAATTCAACATCCCTTTGTGTTGAAAACTCTTAATAAGCTAAGAATTGATGGAACATACATCAAAATAATAAGAGCTATTTAAGACAAACCCAGAGACAATATCATACTGAATGCACAAAAGCTGGAAGCATCCCCCTTCAAAACCGGAGGCATCCCCCTTCAAAACCAGCACAAGACAAGGATGCCCTCTCTCACCACTGCTATTCGACATAGTATTAGAAGTTCTGGACAGGGCAATCAGGCAAGAGAAAGAAAGAAGAGGTATTCAAATAAGAAGAGAAAAGTGAAACTGTCTTTGTTTGCAGATGACATGATTCTATATCTAGAAAACCCCAGCTTCTCATCCCAGTAGCTTCCTAATCTAATAGGCAACTTCAGCAAAGTCTCAGGATACAAAATTAGTGCATTCCTATACACCAAAAATAGACAAGCAGAGAGCCAAATCATTAATGAACTACCATTTATAATTGCAACAAAGAGAATAAAATGCCTAGGAATGTAGCTAACAAGGAAAGTGAAAGACTTCTTCAAGGAAAACTACAAAACACTGCTCAAGAAAATCAGAGACGACACAAACAAATGGAAAAACATTCCATGGTCATGCACAGAAAAAATCAGTGTCATGAAAATGGCCATACTGCTCCAAGTAAATTATAGATATTATAGATACAATGCTATTCCTATTAAACTACCATTGACATTCTTCACAGAACTAGAAAAATCTACTTTAAAATTCATATGGAACCAAAAAGTAGGCCGTATAGCCAAGACACTCCTAAGTAAAAAGAATAAAGGTGGAGGCATCACCCTACCTGACTTCAAACTACACTACAAGGCTATCGTAACCAAAAGAGCATGCTATTAGTACCAAAACAAACCCATAGACCAATGGAACAGAATAGAGATTTCAGAAATAAGACCAAACATCTACAACCATCTGATCTTCGACAAACCTGACAAAAACAAGCAAGGGGGAAAGGATTCCCTATTTAATAAATGGTGCTGGGAGAACTGGCTAGCAATTTGCAGAAAACTGAAACTGGACCCCTTCCTTACACCTTATACAAAAATCAACTCAAGATGAATTAAAGTCTCAAGTGTAAAACCCAAAACTATGAAAACCCTAGAAGAAAATCTAGGCAATATCATTCAGGACATAGGCACAGGGAAAGATTTCATGGCAAAACCTAAAAAGCGATTGTAACAAAAGCAGAAATTGACAAATGGAGTCTAATTAAACTAAAAAGCTCCTGCACAGCAAAAGAAACTATCATCAGATTGAACAGGCAACCTACAGAATGGGATAACATTTTTGCAATCTACACAGCTGACACAGGTATAATATCCAGAATCTACGAAGAACTTAAGCAAATTTACAAGAAAAAAACAGACACATTAAAAGTGGGCCAAGGACATGAACAGACACTGCTCAAAAGAAGACATTAATGTGGCCAAAAAACATGAAAAAAAGCTCAATATCACTGATCATTACAGAAATGTGAATCAAAACCACAATGAGATACGACCTCATGTCTGTCAGAATGGTGATTATTGAAAAGTCAAGACACAACAGATACTGACAAGGCTGTGGAGAAGTAGGAACGCTTTTACACTGGTGGTGGGAATGTAAGTTAGTTCAACCATTGTGGAAGACAGTGTGGCAATTCCTTAAAGACCTGGAAGCAGAAATACCATTTGATCCAGAAATCCTATTACTGGGTATACACCCAAAGGAATATAAATTGTTCTATTATAAAGATACATGCACGTGTATGTTCATTGCAGCACTATTCACAATAACAAAGACGTGGATCCAACCCAAATGCCCATCAATGATAGACTGGATAAAGAAAATGTGGTACATATATACCATGGAATACTATGTAGCCATACAAAGGAACAAGTTTACAGGGACGTGAATGGAACTGGAAGCCATTATCCTCAGCAAACTAACACAGAAACAGAAAATCCAACACCGCATATTCTCACTTATAAGTGGGAGCTGAACAATGAAAACATATGGACACAGGGAGGGGAACAACAAACATTGGGGCCTGTTGGCAGGGGGCAGACAGAGGGAGAGCCAGCAGGATAAACAGCTAATGCATGTGGGGTTTAATATCTAGGTGATGGCTTAATAGGTGCAGCAAACCACCATGGCATATGTTTATCTATGTAACAAACCTGCATGTCCTGCACATGTAACCTAACCTGGAATTTAAATAAAATTAAATTAAATTTAGAAAAAAACAAGCAAAAAACTAATCATTTACCTTTAGTGATTGCCACAGTATAGATTTTTCTTATTGCTTCTCCATGGTGCCATTGACCATGTGGTTGTATCTATTATATTTCCTGTAAATTGGTAGTTACATCTAGAGGCTTGGTAAGGTTTCTTCTTCACCTTCTTTCCCTTCCCCTTTCCCCTTCCTTTTACTGTTCTGGCAAAACTAATCAAATGAGTTGTGCTTCTCCATCAGGAGGCACATTATGTCTGATTTTCCCCTTTTCTGAAGCTAGCAACCATAATAATTAATGTGTAGTTTCATTATATCATTGGGATTGAAAAATATTCATATTCTGTGCTGTCATAGCTTATTCATTTATTATTTGAAACAATTTAGTAAAGAAAAGTGTTTCCTACATCTACTATTTATTTACTAGTAGTAGAGTTTGCATTTTATGGGGAAGATAAATGATTACTTCTTTCCTTATTTGTCAAATTTCAAAATAATGACTTTTTTCTTCAGTCACAAATTTGTTTTCTTTTTTTCTTATGGTTGTCATTTTTGCTTTAGTATCCTTATAAATTCAGTTACTTAAATATATTCAATACGTTGCAATCCATTGCAGTTATCCTTTTTGATGTTCAGATTATTCTATTATGAGTAAGTGAGGGCCACTTCCAGTTGACATGAACCTTTTGACATGATTGTTTATGGTGTTTGTTAGTATCCTTACTACTCATTTTGATAATTTATTCAGGTTTATTTTGCACATTCCCCTGTTTCTTTCAGGAGATTTGGCGATATTAACACAAGATCACAATATGGTTGGTGGGATGCTCCTTGTAACTGGTTTGGTCATTGTTTCTAGGCATTTGTAGTGGATAAAGCTAGGCTAGAGACAAATATATCACAAGTTTATACTGATACTTCCAAATCAAATTCAGGATTATAGACTTGTTTTTAAACCTCTTTTATCTACAACTTTATCTTGCCCACTCCCTGTGAAACCCCCATCTCATTGGCCTTGGAAATAATTGAATCAACTTACCTTATAATTTATTCATTTGCTTTATCCCCTGTTACACACATCATTCTTAGAATGACAATACAACCAACAACATGGTTAAAGAAACCATTTAAGATTTCTTTTTTCAGTTATTTTTTGTTCTCAGTACACATTACACTAGAGATGCACAATTAATTACTATGTTTTAAACTTCCTTGGCATAATTTCTCCTGATGGTTGTGACACAAATTGAATGCACATTTACATCCATTTGCTTTTCTTTTATTTTTAGGGATTTCTTTTTATAATTTAATTTTACAATTATATATTTGTGTGATTCCAAAGCCAAATCTCTGTAAAATATGTCAAAGAAATCCTCAGAGAATGTCCCTTCTCCCTATAGATGGTTACTTTAAAATATTTTATTGTGTTGGCCGGTTACGGTGGCTCACGCCTGTAATCTCAGCACTTTGGGAGGTCAAAGTGGGTGGATCATGAAGTCAGGAGTTCGAGACCAGCCTGGCCAACATAGTGAAACACCGTCTCTACTAAAAATACAAAAAAAAATTAGCCAGGCATGGAGGCGGGCACCTGTAATCTCACCTACTCGGGAGGCTGAGGCAGGAGAATCGCTTGAACCCGGGAGTAGGAGGTTGCAGTGAGCCAAGTTGGCGCCACTGCACTCCAGCCTGGGCGACAGAGTGAGATTCTGTCTCAAAAATAAATAAATAAATAAATAAATAAATAAATAAATAAATAAATAAATAAATAGATAGATAGTTTAATATATATAAATATATATTATATATAATTGTTTTTATTGTTACTTCTTTTATTTTTTGAAAATATGTACCTATGTACTATCATATCATCTACCTGTCTCTACCTCTGTTCATAATCTATCTGCTTATCTCTCTACTCTAGCCCCTTCTTAGATAAATGGTATTACACTATACATATACTTCTCTGCCATTATTTACACTTAATAATGTACTTGGAAGTGGAGCAATAATAGTACTTAGAATGTTTTTATTTTTAAACATTTTTTCTTTAAAAAGTAGCCACATAATATACTTATTAAAATTATTTTCTTTATTTTTTTCTTTTAAAAACAGGAATATTCATCGTTGATTTTTACAACTTTCTAGAATCTATTGTGTGAATGTACTATAGTTGATTCAACTGATGCAGTTTAATAAATGGACCCTGGAGTTGTTTCCATTCTGTTGCTATTTTTTCTGCAATAATAAAGCCTTGTACACAGTCTTTTCACATTTTTGCCAAGCTATCTTTTGGGTGACCCCTAAAAGTCGGATAACTAGGTTAAAGATAAATGCATATGCATTTTTGCTAGATATTGTTAAGCTCACCATTATATAATCTGTAACATTTTTATGCACTCTAGCAATGTATAAGAGCCTCATCAACAGAGGATACTGTCAAGCTTTTTGATTTTACCAACCGACAGCTGAGAAATAACGTATAACATAGTTTAGGCTTGCAATGTTTCTGTCATGCATGAGCTTAACATTGCTAAGATTTAAAGCAATTTGAATTTCTCAGTCAGATTGTTGATGTTTTTCTTCTGTACTCTTAGAAATGTTATTAGAGATATAAACCAATATTCCCATATATTCACAAACACCACACACACACATACATGAACAAATACACACACATATGTATTTTTCACATATATTTTCACAGTATATGTGTCTTCAGTTTGCTTTTATTTTCTCATTTGAAAGTTGTGACTGGATGCAGTGGCTCACTGCCATAATTACAGCATTTTTGGAGGCCAAGGTGGGAGGATGGCTTGAGTCCAGGAGTTCAAAATGAGCCTGGGAACCATAGTGAGACCTCATCTCTACAAAAAAAAAAAAAAATTAAATTAGCCAGGCATGGTGGTAGGGTTGCTTAAGTTTGGGAGGTTGAGGCTTCAGTGTGTTATGATTGTTTCACTGTACTCCAGCCTGGGCAACAGAGCAAGACTCTGTCAAAAAAACAAACAAACAACTTTTTTCTTTTTTGCATTCTAACTTTCTTATCTTTTAATTACTCTTTCTGTATTTTCAGTCATGATTATGACTATTTCTTAGTTTCATGTTATAAAGGTATTCACTGATATTTTTTCCTAGATAATGCATACTTTCACTTTTTACTTTTAATTATCTGATCTATTTGAAATTTATTGTGATATATGGTAAGTAGAATTAGAATTGTTTCTTTGTTATAACATCTGTTTTCCATATAGCTATCCAGCTATTTCAATGCCATCTTTAAATAGTTGATCTTCTTTTTTTTTCTTTTCTTTTTGAGACAAGATTTTACTCTGTCACACAGGCTGGAGTGTAGTGGTGTGTTCAGGGCTCACTGCTGCCTCGATCTCCTGGCACAGTTGATCATCCTGCCTCAGCCTCCTGCGTAGCTGGGATTCTAGGCGACCATCACCATGCTAGGCTAATTTTTGAATTTTTTGCGGAGATGAGGTTTCGCCATGTAGCCCAGGCTGTTTTTGAACTCCTGGGCTTGAGCCATCAGCCAGTCTCGGCCTCCCAAAGTGCTAGGATTACAGGTGTGAGCCAAAGAACCCAGGCTGATATTTTCATAATGAATTTAAGATGCTGGCTTTAATATACGCTAAATGTGTGTGTGTGTAATTAGGAATATTTCTGGATTTTTCCTTCTGTTCCATTGGTCTGTCTTTCTATCCATGCACCAAGAGTGACATTTTAGTTATGAAAATCTTAGGGTATATTTTAGTATTGGATAAGACTACTTCTTTTCTTTAAAATAGAATTTATAATTACCTTAGGTGCAGAAAAAATATGGTATTTTTATTAGGATTATATTTAATATGCACATTAACTTAAGGATAATTTACATGCTAATGATCTTGTCTTCCTGTGCAAGAATGCAATATATCTTTCCAGTTTTTAAGGATATGTTTTTTTCTCCCTCTCAGGGTATTTCTTAGTTTTCCTTCTATTAGCTTTAGATAACTCTAGCTAAAATTATACCAGTTATTTTCTTATTTGCTATAAAAATAGGATCTGCTTTCATTATGTTTTGTCTAGCTATTATTTATATCTATAAATGATAACTCAATAACCTTCTAAGATACTAAGCAAACAGTTGGATTTTCCAGATATATCATCAAAGCCTCTTCAGATATGGATAGTTTTCCCACTATGTTTCCAATGTAAATAAACACTGAAAACATGATATGTAGTAAAAGACACCAGAGGCAAATGAGTGCATACTATATAATTACATTTTTGCTGAGGTCAAAACCAACAAAACTAATGTTTGGTAGTGAAGACTAGGAATTTTGTTCCCTTTGTAGTCTTTGGTGACTTAAAACGTAAATATATATATATATATAAATAAATTTATTTATATATTTATATATAAATATATAAATAAATTTATTTATATATTTATATATAAATATATAAATAAATTTATTTATATATTTATATATAAATATAAATAAATTTATATATAAATATAAATGAATTTATATATAAATATAAATGAATTTATATATATTTATATATAAATGAATTTATATATATTTATATATAAATGAATTTATATATATATTTATATATAAATGAATTTTTATATATATAAATATAAATAAATTTATATATATATTTATATATAAATAAATTTATATATTTATATATAAATAAATTTATATATATATAAATAAATTTATATATAAATATATATAAATAAATAAATAAATAAATAAATATATATATATATATTCCGGAGTGCTGGGGATGTTCTCTTCCTGACCGAGTTATTGCATACAAGGGTGTGTTCAGTGTGTGTGAACAAATGAGCTACAAATGTAAGATTTTTGTGATTTTCTGTGTTTATGACAAACTCCTCTATGAAGTTTAAAAACAAATATAGTAAAACAGAAATTGATGGATTCCTTCCCAACATGACTATGCATATCAGAGAAGTCAGCCTGTTCCCAATCTAATGGGGAAATGTCAGAATCTTTCTCACTGTCAAGAATAAGATAAGGCTGTCTGTAAACTCCGCTCTTTAATATTATGGTAAAGGAAACAGATATGCCCTTCTCATCACATTGTATCGGGGACATGTGATACCAGTATAATTTATCATTGGTGCTATTAGATTTGATCATTTGGTTAGGAAAGAATCTGCCTGCTTTCTGTACTGTAAAGTTACTAATTTTTGCTTTCCATACTCTATTTTTTCAGAAATGAGTCACTAAGTCCAGGCCTCACTCAAGTAGAGAGACATTAACTTTTACCTCCTGGTTGAAAACAGCTTCAAAGAATTGTGATCACAAGCTAAAATGGCCACAATTATTAATAAATGCAGGGGAGATAATTTGATTCTAAGTGTCCTGTTTCCTTTAAAGTTTCTTCAATTGATTTTAATTTTGCCTGTGCTTGTTACTGTAGTGTTCTAAGGGTGATTTTCCCTTTTTTCTCATTCCTTTTGTGTTTAATAATTGAAATTCTTCCATAAGAAACATTGTTTTTTCATTTATTTATTCAGACATTTATAGAAGCATAAAGTCACTGATATTTAGTTTCTTCTTTTGATTATGATCCAATACTATCATTATGTAATATATTCTTCAAATTGTTCCAGCCTCGAGAGATTTTTCAGGTTGACTTCTGTGTCCTTTTGACAACATGCTCCCTCATTTTTACTTCTTACGTATTTGTTTAGCAAATTTTTACTTTTTGACATTACAAGAGGATATAAGCTTATTTTGTGTTTTCCCTGTACGAACTCTAGATTTAGTCATTTATTTAAGGATCTCTGGCTTCGTTTACTGGAGAATGGTACTTATCATCCAAGATTTGGGTGCTGAGTGAGCTCATTATTACTGGGGATATTGCTGTTTCTAGGCTGTCTCAGGAGCTCAATAGGAAACATGTATTAAAATTAACCAGTTTACACATACGTATCTATAATTATTCCTGCATTTATCTCCCTCTCTCTATATATATATACATACATAATATGTAGATATATTAAAATGAACATGAGTTAATACTGAAATATCTGTAATGCCTGGTTCTAATTCAGCACCAAGTGTTCATTGTAGTCATTCTTTCTTATTTGTAAGTTAACTTCTTTCTTTGTTAAAGAGAAACCTGGTTTGCATCATCTAAATTTTATTTAAATATTTGACTATCTATGTATCTATCTATGTATCTATGTAGCTATGTATCTATCTATCTATCTGTATCTGTCTATCTGAAGTAGTTTCCAAACTGCTAACCTGTGCCCTACAAGAAACCAATTAGCAACTAGATACCAATATTTTTTATACTATATCTTCATCTTCAGCTGTACAGCATCTGGTGAAAGCACCGTTTTCCAAAGTTGCTTAGTTCAATTTGTTTTTCTCCACCTCCATCAGTAAGGTTATGTCAAACATTTGTAATACAGTTAGAGTCATTTGTCATAGTACATTCAATCCAGGAATTTCCTAACATCCTGGGTTATATGTTTTTATTTGAACACAGTTAAGTTCATTATTTGTTGTATACATTTCTATGGGTTTTGACAAGCATTTAGAGCTAGGTATATACCACACAAACCAGTTTCTCTATCCTGAAATTTCAGTTTTGTGGCTCCTTTGTAGTCAACTCATCCATTTTCTCCATACTATGCCAGCTAGTATTTGGTTTTCTCCCCTTATAATTTTGCCTATTTTCAGAATGCCTTCTATAAGCAATGAAATGTGTACCATAGGAATTTGACTTCTTTAAATAGCAATATATATTTAACATAGCTTAATGTTATTGTGTGATTCAATAGTTCCTTATTTTTGCTGAGTTCCATAGTTTGTGAACATGTTTTCAATTTCCTGTGTAAATACTTTAAAGTGTGACTGTGGGTCATCTGGAAAGTGTATGATTACCTTTATGAGAAGCTAGCAAACTGTTTTCAGAGAGGCTGTCTAATTTTGCATTCCCATCTGTAATGAATGAGCATTCCTTCTTCTCAGCATCTACTATGGGTTGAATTGTGGCCCCCAAACTTCAAAAAACAAGTGTTGACGTGGATGCAGAGAAAAGGGAATGTGTATACACTGTTGGTAAAAATGCAAATTAGTTCAACCTCTATCTAAAACAGTATGCAGATATCTCAAAGAACTAAAAATAGAACTACCATTTGACCCAGTAATCCCACTACTGGGTATCTTCCCAAAAGAAAGTAAATCATTATGTACAAAAATATGCCTGCACTTATATGTTTATCAAAACATTACTCACAATAGCAAAGTCATGGAACCAAACCATGTGTCCCTAAATGGTTGAGAAGATTAAAAAAATGTGGCACATATACATCATGTAATACTATGTAGCCACAAAAAAGAATGAAATCTTATACTCTGCAGAAACATGGATGGACCTGGAGGCAATTATTCTAAGTGAACTAACTCAGAAACAGAAATTCAAATATTACATGTTCTCACTTATAAATGGGAGCAAAATATGGGGTACACACAGACATACAGATGGAAATAATGGTCACTGGGGACTCCAAAAGGATAGGAGAAAGATGAGGGATGAAAAATTACCTATTGGGGACAATATTCAGTATTTGGGTGATGAGTACAGTAGAGGCCAAATCTTCACCTTTTCACAATATATCCATGTAGCAAACATGCACTTGTACCCCCTGAATCTAAAGTAAAATGATTTTTTTAAAAAAGAAATTCTAACCCTCAGTACCATAGGATGTAATGAGGTTATCAAATTAAAATGAGGCAATTAAGGTGTGCTCTAATTCAATATGACTGGTATTTTTATAGAAAGGGGAAATTAAGACACAGACATGCATAGAGAAAGAGGAAGAAAACGACTATCTGCAAGCTAATGAGAGAGGACTGAAACTGATTCTTCTCTCACAGTCCTCAGAAAGAATCAACTGGAGGGTTGCTTGACTTTAGACTTTTGGCTTCTAGAACTATGTGACAATAAAATTACATTGTTTAAGCTACCCGTTTTGTGGTAATTTGTATGGCAGCCATAGTAGACTAATTTAGCAGCCCTAGATAATTAACATAGCATCCTTGCCAGCACTGGGTGTCATTATAATAGATGTGTAATGGTATCTCAGGGTACTTTTGATTTGTATTTCCCTAATGATAAGTATATGCTTCCTTGATGTCCATATATGTTCATTGGTGAAGTGTCTGTTCAGCTTTTTGTCCATTTTTTTAAATTACATTTTTTCCCTTGTTGAGTTTAAGAGTTCTTTACGTATTATCAGATATATGATTTACATATATTTCTCTCAGTTATTTGCTTACTTTCCCTTCCTTTAACAATAACTTTCACAGAGAAAACGTTTTTATTTTGATAACATTATAGTATAATTTTCTATAGATTCTGCTTTTGTTGTCATATCTGAAACTCAACATAATACTTAAAAACTGTGCAAATTTTCTTTTATGTTTCCTTATAAGTATTTTCAGTTTTTTACTCTTTATATCTGGATCTATGTTCCATTTTAGTTCAATATGCGGGGTATAATATGCGGGGTATAGGTTGAAATTAATTTATTTTGCATATGGACTTGGAAATGTTCCAGTATCAATTTTGAAGTCTATGTTTTCCTCATTGAGTTGCCTTTGCACTTAAAAAACTTATTGACTATATTTTTATGGATCTTTTTATGGGTCTTTATTCTGTTTCATTGATTTATGTGTATTTTTTTCACTGATAACACCTTGTTTGATTATGATAGCTTTTTAATAAGTCTTAAAATTGCCTAGTGTAACACTCTTTTTTGTTTTTTAAAAAAATGTATAACCCTTTTAGTTCTTTTTCCTTTTGATATAAATTTTAGAAACTGCTTGTTAGCATTTACAAATAAGCTCCCTGACATTTTGATGAATTGAATTGAATGCATAGATCAAACTGGAGAGAATTGACACCTTAACAATTTTGAGTTTTCCAATCCATGAACATGATATATCTTTTGCAGAACATGACAAGCTAATCAGAAAAATGTGTATGCCAATAGAAAACACCCAGAATAGCCACATAATTTTGAAAAAGAATGAGGTTGAAGAACTTATGATTAGTTATCTTTTTTTTTTTCCTCTTACGGACTTTTCTTTTGGTATTGAAATGAAGAACCATTATGAAAAAGAAGGTCAACTAGATTTGTTTCCAATGTTATCTTCAGAAGTTTTAGAGGTTTTGCATTTTAGGTCTGTGATCCATTTTGAGTTAATTTTTAGAAAGTTGTATGGTCTGTGCAAAGATTCACTTTATTGTACTTTTCTGTTTTCTTTATGCTGCAGTTGTTCTTTTTTTCTCTAGTTTCCTAATGTGAAAGCTTGGGTAGTTATTTTAAATCATTATTTTTCTCTAATGTGTGCTTTTAATGCTATAAATTTCTTTCTAAGCAGTTTTTGCAGCTTCCCATATATTGGTAAGTTATATTTTCATTTTTATGTAATTAAAAATATTTTTAAATATATATGAAGAAATATTGATCCAAAGCTTATTTAAAAGTGTGTTGTTTATTTTCAAATATTTAGGAAATTTTAAATCTATCTTTCTATTATTGATTTCTAGTTTAATTCCATTACGCTTTAAGAACACACTTTGTAGATTGCTTAAATAAATTGTCAACATGTCTTATGGCCAGAAAGTAGTCTATTTCAATGAATTTTTCCTGTGAACTTAAGAACAAGTATTGTCTATTGTTTTATGGCATAGTCTATAAACATAAATTAGATTGAGTTAATTTATAGTTCTGTTTAGTTTTCTGTATCTTTACTGAGTTTATACCTGCTTGATCTATCAATTACTGGCAACTATTGAGGTCTCTACTTGTAACACTGCATTTGTCTATTTCTCCTTTCAGTTTCCTATCTTCTTCTATCAGTTTTCGCCTCATGTATTTTGATAACTCTGTCAGATGTATGCATGTTTAAGATGTTTATGTCTTCTCAGACCCCTTTATCTTTATGTAATGCCTGTCTTTATCCCTGACAATTTTCCTTGTTCAATGGTCTGCACTGTCTCAAACTAAAATAACTATTTTAATTTTTTTGATTAGTTTTAGATTGGTAGATATTCTCAATTTTTTCACTTTTAACTCATCTAGTTCTTTATATTTAAAGTTGATTTTACCTAGACAACATATAATTCAGTTCTTTTCATCTACTCTGACAATCTCTTTCGTTTAATTGATATATGTAGGCCATTTACATTTAAAGTGATAGTTGATATAGTTGGATTAATATCTATCATGTTTGTAACTTTTCCATTTGTTACATTATTCCTTTTTGCCTCTTCTTCTGCCTTCTTTGGTTTTAACTGAGCAATTCATATGATTCCATTTTATCACCTCACTTAGAATATTAGTTATACTTCTTTAAAAATTAATGTTAGTGGTGGTGGAGTTTACAATAAACATGCTAAACTAATCTAAATTCAATTTCAAGTACCAATAAACATTTAGTCAAGAACATTAGAAATTCCTCCCTTCCATCTCTGTGACATTGCTGTCATTCATTTACTGTCATTTCATTTGCTGTCATTCATTGCTGTCATTTCATTTACCTATTATAAAATTATGCAATACATTGTTTGTTTTTACTTTAAACAGTTATCTTTTAAATCAATTAAGGATAAGAAAAATGGGGAAGGGGCCAAGATGGTCAAATAGAAACAGCTCCGGTCTGCAGCTCCCAGTGACACAAACGGGGAGGGCAAATGATTTCTGCTTCTCCAACTGAGGTACCAACTTCATCTCATTGGGACCAACTAGGTAGTTGGCACGACCCATAGAGAACCAGCAGCAGGGTGGAGCGTCACTTTATCTAGGAGCTGCACAGGGTGGGCGGACCTCCCTCCTGTAATCAAGGGAAGTAGTGAGGGGCTGTTCTACCTGCCAGGGGTACTACCCTTCTCCAATGGATTTTTGCAATCTGTGGATCAGGAGAGTCCCTTGTGAGCCTACACTACTAGGGCTTTGGGTCTTAACCATAAAACTGGGCAAACCAAGGACAGCTGCTCCCGTCAGAGGCTGTTTGGGCAGGCACTGGGCTGCAGGAGTTTTTACATACTACAGTGGTGCCTGGAACTCCAGTGAGGCAGGAGAACCGTCCACTCTTGTGGAAAGGGGGCTGAAGCAGTCTTGATCAGCCGGTCCCACTCCCATGGAGTCCCGCAGGCTAAGACTCACTGGCATGAGATCCCTGCTGCCTGGGACAACTGAGTTCCCAACGGGAGGGGCAACAGCATTTACTGCCATTGTAGTTGGTGGTTTTCCACTAACCAGTGCAAAGAAAACGAGGCGGTTTGGACTGGGCAGAATTCCCCACAGTGCAGCAAAGTGGCTGTTGCAGATTGTGGCCAGACTGCCTCTTTAGCTGGGACCCACAGCCATCCCTCCTCACCAAGCAGGAATTTCAGCAGCTCCAGTCAGGGGCTTAGAAACAGAACTGTCATCTCCCTGGAACAGAGCACCTTGGGGTAAGGGTGGGCACAGTCTCAAGTTCTGCCACTTAAGACTGGCTAATCCCAATTAGGGGGATTCCTCCAGCACAGTGCACCAGCTCCACTAACGGAAAGTCAAAGACCCTCCTTAAGTGGGTCCTGGATCCTGTGCCTCCTGACTGGGTGAGTCTTCCTAACAGGGGTTGCCAGACTGCTCATACAGGAGAGTTCCAGCTGGCATCAGGTTGGTGCCCCTCTGGGACAAGCTTCTAGAGGAGGGAGCAGGCAGCAATCTTTGCAGTTCTGCAGCCTCCACTGGTGATACTCAGGTGAACAGGTTCTGGAATGAACCCCATGCAAACTGCAGCAGACCTGCAGAAGAAGAATCTGACTGTTAGAAGAAAAACAAACAAACAGAAAGTAACAACAACAACAACATCAACAAAAAGACCCAACAAAAGCCCCACGCAAAGATTACCAGACTCAAAGATCAAAGGTAGATAAATCCACGAAGATTAGGAAAAATCAAAGCAAAAATGCTGAAAATTCCAAAAGCCAGAATGTCTCTTCTCTTCCAAATGATTGCAACACTTATCCAGCAAGGGTACAGAATGGGGCTGAAGCTGAGCTGGATGAACTGACAGAAGTAGGCTTCAGAAAGTGGGTAATAATGAATTTCACTGAGCTAAAGAATTATGTTCCCACTTAATGTAAAGAAGCTAAGAACCATGATAAAACATTACAGGAGCTGTTAACTAGAATAATCAGTTTAGAGAGAAACATAAATGACCTAATGGAGCAGAGAAACACAGTCTGATAACTTCATGATGCAAACACAAGTATAAATAGCAGAATCGACCAAGTGAAAGAGAGAATATCAGAGCTTGAAGACTATCTTGCTGAAATAAGACAGGCAGACAAGATTAGAGGGAAAAAAAGTAAAGAAACAAACAAATCCTCCAAGAACTATGGGAATGTAAAAAGACTGAACCTATGACTGATTGGAGTACCCGAAAGAGATGGGGAGAATGGAAACAAGTTGGAAGACACACTTCAGGATATCATCCAGAAGAACTACCCCAACCTAGCAAGACAGGCCAGTATTCAAATTCAGGAAATCCAGAGAGCCCCAGTAAGATACTCCATGAAAATATGTCTACCCTGAGACACATAATCATCAGATTTGCCAAGGTCAAAATGAAGGAAAAAATGTTAAGCGTAGCCAGAGAGAAAGGTCAGGTCACCTACAAAAGGAAGCCCATTAGACTAACAGTGGATCTCTCAGCAGAAACACTACAGGCCAGAAGAGAGTAAGGGTCAATATTCAACATTCTTAAAGAAAATAAATTTCAACTCAGAATTTCATATCTGGCCAAACTAAGCTTCATAAGCAAAGGAGAAATAAAATCTTTTTCAGACAAGCGAATGCTGAGGGATTTTGTCACCACCAGGCCTGCCCTGCAAGAGCTCCTAAAGGAAGGACTAAACATGGATAGGAAAATCCATTACCAGACACTACAAAAACACTCCAAAGTACACAGACCAACAGCACTATGAATCAACTACATTAACAAGTCTGCAAAATTAACCAGCCAGCATGATGATGACAAGATCAAATTCACACATAACGATATTAAAGGTAAATGTAAATGGTCTAAATGCCTGAATTAAAAGACACAGAGGCCGGGCGCGGTGGCTCACGCCTGTAATCCCAGCACTTTGGGAGGCCAAGGCGGGTGGATCATGAGGTCAGGAGATCGAGACCATCCTGGCTAACAAGGTGAAACCCCGTCTCTACTAAAAAAAAAAAAAAATACAAAAAATTAGCCGGGCGCTGTGGCGGGCGCCTGTAGTCCCAGCTACTCGGGAGGCTGAGGCAGGAGAATGGCGTGAACCCGGGAAGCAGAGCTTGCAGTGAGCCGAGATTGCGCCACTGCAGTCCGCAGTCCGGCCTGGGCGACAGAGCGAGACTCCGTCTCAAAAAAAAAAAAAAAAAAAAAAAAAAAAGACACAGAAAGGCAAGCTGGATATAAAGAAAAGACGCATTGGTGTGCTGTAGTTAAGAGACACATCTTATGTGCAAAGATGCACATAAACTCAAAATAAAGGGATGGAAGAAAATTTACCAAGGAAATGGAAAGCAGAATAAAAGGAGGGGTTGCAAAAGGCATTACATAATGTCAAAGGGATCAGTGCAACAAGAAGAGCTAACTATCCTAAATATATATGCACCCAATAAAGGAGCACCCAGATTCATAAAACAAGTTCCTAGAGACCTACAAAGAGACTTAGAACCCCCACCACCACAATAATAATGGGAAACTTTAATACCCCACTGTCAGTATTAGACAGGTCATTGAGACAGAAAATTAACAAAGATATTCAGGACTTGAACTAAGTTCTAGACAAAGTAGACCTGATAACTATCTACAGAACTGTCTACCCAAAACAACAGAATATACATTTTTTTACACCACATAGCACTTACACTAACATTGATCACATAATTGGAAGTAAAACA
This sequence comes from Homo sapiens, assembly GCF_000001405.40. Classification (NCBI taxonomy): domain Eukaryota; kingdom Metazoa; phylum Chordata; class Mammalia; order Primates; family Hominidae; genus Homo; species Homo sapiens. The sequence continues at coordinate 103,695,703 of NC_000002.12, read as the reverse complement.
CTGTTCAGCAAATGCAAAGGCACTGAAATTATTGCAAACAGTGCCTCAGACCACAGTGCAATCAAATTAGAACCCCAAGATTAACAAGCCTACTCAAAGCCACACAACTACATGAAAATTGAACAACTTGCTCCTGAATGACTCCTGGGTATAACTGAATTAAGGCAGAAGTCAGTAAGTGCTTTGAAACCAGTGAGAACAAAAAGACAATGTATCAGAATCTCTGGGATGCAGCTAAAGCAGTGCTAAGAGGGAAATTTATAGCAATAAAGCCCACTTCAAAAGCTAGAGATGTCAAATAGACACCCTAACATCGCAACTAAAAAAGTAGAGAACAAAGAGCAAACAAACCCCAGAGATAGCAGAAGACAATAAGTAACCAAGGTCAGAGCAGAACTGAGGGAGATAGAGACATGAAAAACCCTTCAAAAAAAAGTAATGAGTCCAGGAGCTTTTTTTTTTCTTTGAGACAGAGTCTCGCTCTCGCCCAGGCTGGAGTGCAGTGGCGCAACCTCGGCTCACTGCAAGCTCTGCCTCCCGAGTTCATGCCATTCTCCTGCCTCAGCCTCCTGAGTAGTTGGGACTACAGGCACCTGCTACCATACCTGGCTAATTTTTTTTGTATTTTTAGTAGATACAGGGTTTCACCATGTTAGCCAGGATGGTCTCGATCTCCTGACCTCGTGATCTGCCTGCCTCGGCCTCCCAAAGTGCTGGGATTACAGGTGTGAGCCACCACGCCCAGCCTGAGCTGTTTTTTTTTTTTTAATCAATAAGATAGGCCACTAGTGAGACAAACAAGAAAAGAGAGAAGACTCAAATAAACACAATCAGAAACGATAAGAAGCATGCCTCTACTGACCCCACAGAAATACAAACAACTATCAGAGAACACTATAAAAACCTCTATGCAAGTAAAATGGAAAATCTAGAAGAAATGGATAAATTCCTGGACACATACACCCTCCCAAGACTGAACCAGGAAGAAGTTGAATCCTTGAATAGATCAACAACAAATTCTGAAATTGAGGCAGTAATAAATAGCTTACCAACCAAAAACAAAGTCCAGGTCCAGATGGATTTACAGCTGAATTCTACCAGAGGTACAAAGATGAGTTGGTACTATTTCTTCTGACACTATTCCAAACAATTGAAAAGGTGGGAATCCTTAACTCATTTTATGAGACCAGCATTATCCTGATACCAAAACTTGGCAGGGATAGAACAACAACAACAAAAACTTCAGGCCAATATCCCTGATAAACATCAATGCAAAAATCCTCAATAAAATACTGGCAAACAGAATCCAGCAGCATATCAAAAAGCTTATCCACCACAATCAAGTTGGCTTCATCCCCAGAATGCAAGGCTGGTTCAACATACCCAAATCAATAAATGTAATTCATCAGATAAACAGATATAAAGACAAAAATTACATGATTACCTCAATAGACGCAGACAAGGCCTTTGATAAAATTCAACATGTCTTCATGTTAAAAAAAAAACTCTCAATAAACTAGATATTGAAGAAACATATCTCAAAATAATAAGGATCACTATCCTCAGCAAACTAACTGCATTTTTCACTTGTAAGTGGGAACTGAACAATGAGAACACATGGACACAGGGAGAAGAACAACACTTACTGGGGCTGTTGGGAAGGGGTGGGGTGGGAGGGGAGAGCATAAGGGAAGAGAGCTAATGCATGCTGGGCTTAATACCTAGGTGATGAGTTGTTAGCTTCAGCAAACTACCATGGTACATGTTTTACTATGTAACAAGCCTGCATACACTGCACATATACCCTGGAACTTAAAAAAAGAAAATAAAATAAGTTAAAAAAATTTTAAAAAATGAAAATAAAAGCTTTATTCTTTCTCCTATGTCCTTTCTTTCTTTATGTAGACAAAAGTTTCTGCTGTATATAATTTTATTTCTTTCTGAAGAATTTCTATTAACATTTTTTGCAAGGCAGGCTTAAGGGTGATTGATTTCCTAAGAAAGAGAAAGTCTGTACTTCTGTGCCTTTGAAGTATAATTTTGCTATTTATAGAATTCTAGGTTGGTAATTTTTTCATCATTTTTATATTTAACTCCCCTCTCTCCTTGCTTGCCTGATTCCTAGTGACATATCTAATCTAATTTGGTTTTGTTCATCTATAGGTAAGCTATGGCTGGGTGTGGTGGCTCACACCTGTAATCCCAACACTTTGGGAGGCTGAGGCAGGAGGATCACTTGAACCCAGGAGTATGCAATCAGCCTGGATAACATAGCAAGACTTCATCTTTACAAAAAATGAAAATATTAGCTGGGCATAGTGGCAGGTGCCTGTAGTCCCCTCTACTCGGGAGGCTGAGATGGGAGGATCACTTGAGCCTAGAAGTTCAGACTGCAGTGTTCCATGTTCATGCCACTGCACTCCAGGCTGGGCAACAGAATAAGACTGTCTTTTTTTAAAAAAAAAAAAAGTAGTAATGATTAAAAATAAATTAGAAAATTTTAAACATATAGATAAGGTGGGACATTGAGTTATTTCAATATTTTCTATTTTTATTTGGTTTTCTGCAGTTTGAATATATTATGGATGTGGAATTTGGGGTACTTATTCTGAATAGTGTTCCAGATGTGGAATTTGGGAATGCCTAGATGTGGAATTTGGGGTCTTTATTTTGAATAGTGTTCTCTGGGTTTCTTGGATTTATAGTTTGTTTTCTGTCATTATCTTGAAAAATTTTCAGCTATTATTACTTTAAATATTTTGCTTATGTTGGGTATATTTCCCATCTTTGGAAATTGTGCCATATTTTTTGATGTTTCTGTTATATATATATATAATATACATATATACACATTATATATATTATATATATAATATAATATATACACACACATATACATGTGTATATGTATATATACACATATACACACACTGTTTTACTCTCTGCTTTTCAGTTTGAGAAGTTTCTGTTGACTTATCTTAAAGTTCACTGATTCCTCAGTTGTGTGGAGTTTACTGATGAGCCCATCAATGACATTTTTCAATTTTGTTACATTGTCTTTTATTTCCATAATTTCTTTTTTATTCCTTCTTAGAGTTTCACTCTCTCTGCTTACAGAGAGAATTGTTATTGCATGGTGTCCACTGTATCCATGAGTGCCCTTAATCTATTAATCAGAGTTATTAATACTTGTAATTAAATAGTATTAATCACTTGTAATTAAATTATCTGTCTTATAATTCCAATACCACCATCATATTTCACAGGATTCAGATAATTCTTTTGTCCCTTCAGATTCTGCTTTTTCTCTTGTCTTTTGGCATGCCTGATAAGTTTTTGTAGAAAACTAGACATATCGTATCAAATAATAGTAAAGGAGGAAAACGGACCTTTAGTCTAAGGCGAAGGCAGTGCTACTACTATGTCTAGAAATGGGGCTGTGCTTAATGTGTGCTTTTGCTGTATGTACCAGAGATTTTCATTTATTTCAATGCCCTTTTTTATGCCTTCCCTTCTAGACTTTGGCTTTTCCTTTGTATTCCTCCTCAGAGACTATGCGTCTTGCAGCTTTTTCAATCGCAAGCTGTTGTTCTTATACTTCATCCCTATTAATATGGTTGTTAGTAAAGTGTGGGGAAGAGGGCTGTTGTATAATCTTACTGTCCTTTTAGTGGACCAGTCCCTCAGGGCTGTTACCTTCCCAAGAGTTTCTCCAGTCTTTCCCCTCTTACTTCTTTCTTTTCCAAGATGCAGTGATCCTGATCTATTTCCTTGATGTTCCGATCTCTGATGGGTAGGTGTTCTTCCACTGTAGGTGAGAAGGGAGTTGAGAGGAGGCCATGGAGAAAAAAAAAATGTCCTTCTTCCAGGTGATATGAAGCTCTGGAACAAACGTTCCTGCCTGGCGGCGAGGACTTTTATATCTGGAAGGCTTTAGGAGTATCTCATAGGGATTTTTCTCCTCTCCCTGCCAGAGCCCAGAAGATCCTGCTTAAATCCGCATTGTGAGAACCCAGTGGAGTTTCAGGAGGTAAAATCTTCAAAAGTGTAGATGCCATCGGAATACAGCCCCCAGGATTTTTACCTTCATAATAGTTCACAGTCTGCCTCCAGCACTTTATCGAAAGTACCATGTATTCTATAGATTTATGACTTTTGTAGTTTCTCTTTCAGATAAGTAAACATAGACTGTGTTTCTAGATATACCTGCTTCTTTAGATTTTTGGGTTGTTGTTAATGAGTTCATGAGATGTCACTGATTTTCACTTTGCGCAGTCCTGTCTTATTATAAGGATAGGAGTGGCAATTTTCAGGATCTTTGCATGTTTGAGATAAGAACAGAAGTCTGAACCATTAATTTTTATTTATTTTATCTAGTGGAATTTACTAAATATACATATGATTTTAGAATTTCATCTTTAGGTTAGGTTTTTTTAATTTGCCTTTTTTTGCATGTTTTTTTTGTGTGTAGTCCTGTCTAGGGGATCTTTGCCTATTCCAATTTCACAAAAATGATCTATGTATACAAACACGTAGTCTATGATTAATGACAGTTTCTTCTTTTTCAACCAATATTACCTGTATTTTTTTTCTTCACTAAATAGGGTTTATCAGCTGCTCCAGTACAGCATAAAACAGAATGGTGATAGGAGTGTTTTTTTCTTTTTCCTGTCCTCATAAGGAAAGTTTTCAAAATTTCACAATCATTATGATGTTTGTAGTAGACGTTTTGTAGACAACTTTTGATGTTAATAAAGTATTCTTATACTCCTAGTTTTCTAAAAGTTTCTGGTTTTTATTATGAAAATATTTGATATTATCAAAGTTTTTTTTCTAAATCTGTTTAGGGGAACATGTGTTTTTATTTCTCTTGCTTTATGTTATTATAGTTAATCATATTGATTGTTTTATAAAAGTGAAGCTAATGTTTTATTCTTAGAATAAAGTTGACTTGATCTTGATATATTATCTTGTTTATACAAATTGGATTTGAAAATATGTCATTTAGAATTAAAAATATATATATTGATGGAAAAGATATAGCCACTTATTTTCCTTTCTAACCCTACCCGTGGGTTTTGATATCAGATAATCGTGGCCTCATAGTATAAGTTGTGAATTGTTTCCTCTTCTTCTACTTTCAAGAAGAGTTTTAGTCAGATTGATGGTAATTCTCCATGATCTCCTGATATAGATGTGTTAAAATCTCCCACTAATATTGTAGATCATACATAGTATGGATTTTTTTTCTGTTGATTTTTAATACATCTTTGAGGCCATTAAATTAAGTACAAACAAACAGATTTTTAAAATCTTTCCTGTTATCTCTTCCTAAATATGAGATATTATTATTTCTCTCTAACAAATGCTTTTGCGTTAAAAATCACTTTGTTTGATATTAGTATAACTAGACCAGTTAACTTTTGATTTGTGTTTATGTGGCATATGATATTTATTATTTTACTTTAAAACTTTTGATGTCTGTATATTATAAGGAGAATATAGCTCACTGTATCCTATGTGAATAGTTTTAGATTTTAAACATATAAATGATCATATCTACATTTAATTCTTATTACTGGTATACATGCATTTACACATGTCACTCCCTATTTGCTTTATATTTTTTCCACTGAGTCTAAATTCCATGTACTCTATTGCCTCATTTGACTTAATCATGTGTGTTTTATTATTCTGTTGGTAACTATATTTGCTTCTTAAGTTACTGGTTTTTACTATTATTTAAGAATTTATACTAGATGATAGAGTATGACTGCATCTGAAAAGTCAATATAAATATGTAAATTTACCATTTCCTGAACTAGAACATACTAGAACTCTTGAATACCTATTTTCCTCTCAAATTTTGTATTTTTGTCATGCATATTAGTAATATGTACAATTTAAATCTACATGATAGCCAGGCGCGGTGGCTCATGCCTGTAATCCCAGCACTTGGGGAGGCCAAGGCGGGTGAATCACCTGAGGTCAGGAGTTCGAGACCAGCCTCAACATGGAGAAGCCCTGTCTCTGCTAAAAATACAAAATTAGCCAGGCATGGTGGTGCCTGCCAGTAATCTCAGCTACTCAGGAGGCTGAGGCAGGAGAATTGCTTGAACCTGGGAGGCGGAGGTTGCGGTGAGCCGAGATCACACCATTGCACTCCAGCCTGGGCAACAAGAGCGAAACTCCATCTCAAAAAAAATAAATGAATAAATAAAATTAAATTAAATAAATAAATCTACATGATATTAGTTTTATTATTTTATACAATATTCACTTACAGCTAGCCATACATATACTTTTTCTATAATTCTTTATTTTTCACCATTTTTCTTTCTGGCTCTAAAATTTCTTTTTTTTGTTGTTATACTTTAAGTTTTAGGGTACATGTGCACAATGTGCAGGTTTGCTACATATGTATACATGTGCCATGTTGGTGTGCTGCACCCATTAACTCATCATTTAACATTAGGTATACCTCCTAATGCTATCCCTCCCCCCTCCCCCCACCGCACAACAGCCCCCGGTGTGTGATGTTGCCCTTCCTGTGTCCATGTGTTCTCGTTGTTCAATTCCCATCTATAAGTGAGAACATGAGGTGTTTGGTTTTTTGTCCTTGTGACAGTTTGCTGAGAATGATGGTTTCCAGCTTCATCCATGTCCCTACAAAGGACATGAACTCATCATTTTTTATGGCTGCATAGTATTCCATGGTGTATATGTGCCACATTTTCTTAATCCAGTCTATTGCTGTTGGACATTTAAGTTGGTTCCAAGTCTTTGCTGTTGTGAACAGTGCTGCAATAAACATATGTGTGCATGTGTCTTTATAGCAGCATGTTTTATAATCCTTTGGGTATATACCCAGTAATGGGATGGCTGGGTCAAATGGTATTTCTAGTTCTAGATCCCTGAGGAATCACAATGGTTGAACTAGTTTACAGTCCCACCAACAGTGTAAAAGTGTTCCTATTTCTCCACATCCTCTCCAGCACCTGTTGTTTCTTGACTTCTTAATGTTCACCATTCTAACTGGTGTGAGATGGTATCTCATTGTGGTTTTGATTTTCATTTCTCTGATGGCCAGTGATGAGCATTTTTTCATGTGTCTTTTGGCTGCATAAATGTCTTCTTTTGAGAGGTGTCTGTTCATATCCTTTGCCCATTTTTTGATGGGGTTGTTTGTTTTTTTCTTGTAAATTTGTTTGAGTTCATTGTAGATTCTGGATATTAGCCCTTTGTCAGATGAGTAGGTTGCAAAAATTTTCTCCCATTTTATAGGTTGCCTGCTCACTCTGATAGTAGTTTCTTTTGCTGTGCAGAAGCTCTTTAGTTTAATTAGATCCCATTTGTCAATTTTGGCTTCTGTTGTCATTGCTTTTGTTGTTTTAGACATGAAGTCCTTGCCCATGCCTATGTCCTGAATGGTATTGCCTAGGTTTTCTTCTAGGGTTTTTATGGTTTTAGGTCTAACATATAAGTCTTTAATCCATCTTGAATTAATTTTTGTATAAGGTGTAAGGAAGGGATCCAGTTTCAGCTTTCTACATATGGCTAGCCAGTTTTCCCAGCACCATTTATTAAATAGGGAATCCTTTCCCCATTTCTTCTTTTTGTCAGGTTTGTCAAAGATCAGATAGTTGTAGATATGCAGCATTATTTCTGAGGGCTCTGTTCTGTTCCATTGGTCTATATCTCTGTTTTGGTACCAGTACCATGCTGTTTTGGTTACTGTAGCCTTCTAGTATAGTTTGAAGTCAGGTAGTGTGATGCCTCCAGCTTTGTTCTTTTGGCTTGGGATTGACTTGGCAATGCGGGCTCTTTTTTGGTTCCATATGAACTTTAAAGCAGTTTTTTCCAATTGTGTGAAGAAAGTCATTGGTAGCTTGATGGGGATGGCATTGAATCTATAAATTAGCTTGGGCAGTATGGCCATTTTCACGATATTGATTCTTCCTAGACATGAGCATGGAATGTTCTTCCATTTGTTTGTATCCTCTTGTATTTCATTGAGCAGTGGTTTATAGTTCTCCTTGAAGAGGTCCTTCACATCCCTTGTAAGTTGGATTTCTAGGTATTTTATTCTCTTTGAAACAATTGTGAATGGGAGTTCACTCATGATTTGGCCCTCTGTTTGTCTGTTATTGATGTATAAGAATGCTTGTGATTTTTGCACATTGATTTTGTATCCTGAGACTTTGCTGCAGTTGCCTATCAGCTTAAGGAGATTTTGGGCTGAGACGATGGAGTTTTCTAGATATACAATCATGTCATCTGCAAACAGGGACAATTTGACTTCCTCTTTTCCTAATTGAATACCCTTTATTTCCTTCTCCTGCCCTATTGCCTGGCCAGAACTTCCAACACTATGTTGAATAGGAGTGGTGAGAGAGGGCATCCCTGTCTTGTGCCAGTTTTCAAAGGGAATGCTTCCAGTTTTTGCCCATTCAGTATGATATTGGCTGTGGGTTTGTCATAGATAGCTCTATTTTTCACCATTTTATAATGGGATTATATTCCTTCAATCTGAGGAAATGTTTTTAAGTGAGTTCTTTTTTCCTAAAATTTGTCTGCTGTCAATAAATTTGTTTTCAATTTTCTGGAGGGAAGTCTGGAGAAATATCTATATTTTTTTCTCTCTGATTTTATAATTTTATAGTGGAATCATTTTAATAGACATTTTCAACTGACATCTGACTTCCACCATTTTTATTAATTATTCAATTGTCATTATTATTTTACTTCTAAACAATGAGTGTTTTTTTTTTCTTCTTTATGGAAATATTTGTGCTTTTGCCTTCTTTTGTTTTTGGCAAATTTGATGATGAAGGAGCAAAGTGATTTTCTATGTATTTGTCCTAGTTTGGATTTGTTTGTTCTTCAATCTGTGGCTTGATATCTTTCCTCAGTTTTTGACAATTTTGGCCAGTGTTTATTTAAATAATACTTTGGTACCATTATATCCCCTTTTCTTATTTTAACTGAGATTAACCATATATTTAACCTTTTCGCTACATCCTAAATATCTCTTATGCTCTTTTTAGTATGTGTCTTCTCTTTTACTCTTCTTCCCCTTCTCCTCCTCCTCCTTCTTCTTCTTCTTTTGAGACTGAGTTTTGTTCCTGTTGCCCAGGTTGGAGTGCAATGGGGCGATCTCGGCTCACTGCAACCTCTGCCTCCTGAGTTCAAGCGATTCTCCTGCCTCAGCCCCTAAGTAGCTGGGATTACAGGTATGTGCCACCACACCTGGCTGATTTTGTATTTTTTTTTTTTAGTGGCAATGGGGTTTCTCCATGTAGGTCAGGCTGGTGTCGAACTCCCGACCCCAGCCCGCCTTGGCCTCCCAAAGTGCTGGGATTACAGGAACGAGCCAAAGCACCCAGCTACTCCATCTTTCAATGTACACATTTCTACTTAGTTCTACTCTAGAGCAAGAACCCTACTGTTAGCTATGTCTAATCTGCTCTTAAACACGGCTGTTGAATACTCAATTTCAGTTACTTTATTTTTAAGTCATATAGCTATGAGAAATGAATTTGACCAACAACCTTAAGAAGTTAGAAAGTAGAGTCTTTCTCAGTTAAGTTTCCAGATGAAAACATACCCCAGCTGAGGTGGTGATTACAGCCTGTGAAACCCTGAGCCGGGGACCCAGCTATGCTGTGTCCAATTCATAGAAACTGTGAGACAAAACATGTGTGTTATTTTAAGCCATTAAGTTTGTGGTAATTTGTTACTCAGAAATAGAAAACCAGTACAAAATCTCTGTTTAAATTATTTATGATGTTATCTATGTTCTTAAATAGGTAAATCAACTATCCTGAAGACTGTGTATGATGATCCTAATAGCTTGATTACCTTGTGATCTAGCTCTTTGTCTTGTGTCTTGAAATGCCTGCTGAATTTTACATTGATGACAGAAATTGTGTATTAAAAATTTGTATAAACTCTGGGTGAAACGTTATCTTTCAAGAGATAATTAGAACAGAAGCAGATCAGTTCAATCCAGTAAAGGACTAGGCTGCTTTAGGGCTGGGTTTCCATCTTTGTTAGGACTCGTTTATTTATTATTCATGCTCACTCTTAGGTCTTGTATGTCAGATGTTTCCACTGGAAAGCTGCAGTGTTCTCCAGGATCTTGTGGCAAACTATGAACTCAATTTTTCTCTCCTTAGCCCTTGGAGGCAATCACAAGCTCTGTGGAGCTCCTCAATTTCTTGGCTTTTTCTTTTTTCTTTTTTTCTTTTTTTTTCACAACTAGAGGCCATGAGAATATCTTGAATGATAAACCAGATCAGACTTTCAGGCTCACTTCTCTATGATTTCCTTCTCTAAGGAATCTTAGCCACCTCCTCCCCTTAACCTGGCTAGCTGCCTTAGAAGACTCAAATTGCAGATTCTTTGCCTTTAGCCCAGTGAGGTTTCCCTCCAAATCAGGAAAGGTTATGTGCCTCTTGGCTTTTTCTTACTGATTGGCTTCTCAACTCTTCTCTACTGCTTTAGAACTATCAAGTGCTTTGAGGGGACAGGTCGTTAGATGTTAGGCACACTTAGATAAGTTTCCGTTATTTCCAGCATCTTAGCCCCTGAATTTCTGATTCCCTTGGTAGTTTCCTAGTTCTTTTAAATGAATGGGGGTATGTATCTATCGTTTCTAATTTTTTCTATGAGTATTCTTGTTGGCTACAAGCTAATCTACTACAATGACAAATGGGACTCTTCCTCTATCATCACCGGCAGTGTGATAGGGCAAGATTTCACTGTCCAGCAAGAGCTGAATGTGCACATCTTATCCCAATTCCTTGTGCAGTGATAGCATGTTAATACTCTGAAAATGGCCTTGATGGAAGTAATCAAATCTGGAAATGGGAAAATCCTATTTATCAATTCTTTAATTATCTTTAAAGATAATTGATAATTTTAAATTAAAGAATTTAAAAAGCCCGTTTACCTACACACTATAACATCAGGTGTTGTTTTAAGCTTAGGAAATACTCAGTCCATTGAATAGGCTAGATAAACAGTTCATAAATTTTAGTTCTTTTAGTTCTGATTTTAGAACTAAATTTACTGTTCTTTAGTGAAGAATATACTGTGAAGATTAAAAATCCGATTTTCCAGGATCACCTCTAGACATTCTAATCTCAGAACTATACGACATGGCTCAGAGATCTCATTTCTGCTGCTTACATATTTGTGAATCTGTTGCATGTGAGCAAACTATTAGAAGCACCTCAGTCTTCTGTAGGCAAAATCTTGCAACTTTTTACCTTCCTTCTTCATTATACATACTATTTATTTATTTATTTTTTTCTTTCAGATAATTTTGTTTTTTAACTATCTTATTTATTGGGTTTGTTTTCTTGCTTTATTTAAGTAAGCATTTCCTTCCCATTTTCTCCTGCATCTATTCCTTCTCTCTCTCTTCCTAAAGGATCTAGCATCTACAAAATAACTCTATAAATCAGTCTCCAAATGCATACACCTGGTTGTCCTAAGATTTTTCAAAGAATTTTAAGAGAATCAGTTTCTAAATTTTCATCTGATACAGGTGCTTTCCTAAAACTGATCCACCTAAGAACTTTCTTGTGCCAAGATTGCTCTCAATCCCTTCCTCTTCCTCACATCCTTCAGTATTCCTATTATCTATTTCCTCAGCATGTAAAACATTCGAAGTATCAAAGGGGAGCTTGAAATATTCATATCAGTAGTATAGAAGTGAAAAATCCAAAAGTCTAGATAACAAATATTTGCAACTTGGGTGATTTCCATTGCTTGATTTCAATAAAACTCCAGGAAGGCCTAATTCAGAAGGCCACCGATAGAGTTTTGGCAAATAATATGGAGGGAGTGTAAAGAAATGACATTGTCATAACAACACTTACTCCATTTTCTAATTTATAAACAAGTTTTATCAAAGCTTACTATAATAGAAATAAAGAAAGGGATAAATACATATTAGAATACAATAGAGCTTGGCCAGGTGCAGTGGTTCATGTGTGTAATCCCAGCACTGTGGAAGGCTGAGGGAGGCAGATTGCTTGAGTCCAGGAGCTGGAGATCAGCCTGGGGAACATGGCGAAGCCCCATCTCTACTAAAAATACAAAAATTAGTTTGGCGTGGTGGCACACATCTGTAGTCCAGCTATTTGGGAAACTGACGTGGGAGGATTGCTTGAGCCTGGGAGATGGAGACTGCAGTGAGCTGTGATCATGCTGCTGCATTCCAGCCTGGGCAGCAGAGAAAAACTCTGCCTCAAAACAAAACAAAACAAAACAAAACAAAACAAAACAATAGAATTGAGCTCCTGTCTCTTGTTCCTTCCAGCAAAAAGAAAGTAATATTCGTTCATATACCAGTGAACTAAATGAAAAAAAAAAAAAAAAAAAAAACCCTCCAAGTTTCTCATTAAAAATGCATTTCATTAAAACTCATTTTTATATTTTAATTCTTTGACAAAATTAACACTTTGTTGATTTTACTGATAATTATAAAAGATAGCTCAATATATATTTTAGCAATATCTGACAGTGAAATATATTTACCAATAAAATATATAAACATTTTTAACACTTAAAGCCTTAGAGCCTTATTTCTTATGTAAATATAAAAATTAATATTAAACTTTTACTCACATTTTTATAGCAGAAAAATATGATCTGGTGATAAAATACTAAAAACAAAAGATATTATGTCATAATACAGTACAGGGGAATTATTATATCATGATATAGAGCAAGGGAATAAAATTATAAGCTTAAGCAGAAAAGAAATAATTTAAATATTTTGACCCAAAATGCTCACCCTTTGTTTTTAAATGTATAATTGTGAAAATTGAAAGAAATGTCTATGCCATTTATATTTCTTTTGAAATATAAAAGATTGCTATAAACATTTTACTTTTTAAATGTCAATATTTTATAATTTTAGGATTTATATTATTTTTTACCATCTATGTTTCTTTTAACCTGATAATTGGGTTATTCACTATGTTTTCTTGATGACACAGCCTCAATAACCCACTAATTAACTCTGAGGTAAAATTTGGTGATGCTCCCTGTATCTCCCCGATTCCATTGCCCTGCCTCTCTGTCCAAGCTCTCCAGCATGCTGAGGGATATCTTTCTCATTTTTTGCTTTTTTAAAATGTCATTTTAGGCTGGGCGTGGTGGTGGCTCATGCTTGTAATCCCAGCACTTTGGAAGCCTAGGTGGGAGAATCTCTTGAGGCCAGGAGTTCCAGACCAGCCTGAGTAACACAGTGAGACTTTATCTCTACAAAAAATAAACAAATATGTAGTCTTATTTTCTATGTATGTTTTTGAAGTTTCAAACAGCATTCACATGCTTCTTCCTATTTAGTGTAAATGTGGCGTTAGAAAATGCTTTTTGGTGGAGGTGCTGGTTAACAGGGTCCTCCGTTACAGGAGGACTGATTGAAAAAAAATCTTCTTCATGGAAAGTTTGCAATAAGGGCTGTAAAATACAAGAGAAGTCAGCCTCAGTGCTTAACCTCAGTGCTAGACTGTGGAAGGCAAAACTGAGAGAAGGAAATAAAAAATGTAGTGACTATTGGACAATGTATAGAATTAACCTTATTCCACCTTTGTGTCTTATGTTTTAGTCAATATATTTCATAACCATTATTCTTTTTTTCCTCAGATTGAGTTGATTTGGGATATTCTGTTTCCTGCAACTGAAAATTGTTTAACTTGTGCAGTTAGTTACTGAATCAGGGGTCTTTTAGGTCTTAATAAAGACCTGGTTCTGCAATTTCTTTCTGCCAACATACAGATGAATATTTATACTTTTTCCAATATTCTCCACTTCACATTCTAATCTATTCACCACTTCTACATTGCACTTCTGTGTCTGCCCCTCTTTCTCTGCAAATCCTCATTCCATGCCTCTAGCACATGATGTTATTTGTAATGGGCTTTGCCTGTTTCTGTACCAAAATAAACTACTCAACACAGAGCTGTGTACCATGGACCAAGAAAATTGTCTTCCTGAAAGGGAATGCCACAATGTGTTACTACACGAGGCAATAGCTCACAAAATCACCATGGTGCGTTTTTGTGTTTCTAGTGTTCTGGAAGGATAATAATTAGAAATTCTGAAAGTAGGTACCCACACTTTTGTTAATTCCTGCCTTTTCTGTGCTGATCATGGCACTTATTGTCCATGTGTGTGGTGATCATGTAATGAATCATGCAAGCCATAACAGTTTGAACACATCTGAAGGGGGTTGGGTTATTGATAATTATTCCAGATTCATAAGTGGACACTGGAGTTTTCCCAGGTAATTTAGACTGGGTGGTCACTGTACCTGCACATCTCCCTAAGAAGATGGAGAAGGAGACTAGGCACCTACTGACATCCCTCCTAACAATATTTTAACTCTAGTTTTTCTTTAAAGGGCAGTGAAAATTTTTTGAATTCCATCCTCTCTCATTTCTAATAAAGTGCATCTCCATAAAATAAAGTTTTTAAATTTTTGGTATTATTTCCAAATAAATGAAAACCAGTGATTGCTGCATATATCTAAATGGGGTGGGGTAAGGGGCTGAAAGGCAAGAAATGTTCTGCTGACAATTTAAACACCTTGACCTGATCCACAGCAGATACAGGAGCTAGGTGTTAAGCAGTGGAGTGTCAACTCACTATAGGGCCCACTGCAAAATGAAAACTGGGGTTCCTTGTTCAAAGGCAGGGTAAAGATATGTAAAAGGTACTGAGATAGAAAGTTTTTACCTTTGTCCATGGTCTCTATCAACTTCTTAGAATGTTTTTATTTTTATACAAAATAACTGTGCTTCTGAGGGATAATTTACTTTAGGTTTCAATCAAGAATGAACACAAGCATTCATTCAATTTTTTTCAGGAAAAACATTACATTTTATTTTAACATTTATTGATTTAAAAAAATCCTTGGTGAGGCATATAGTCTTATGAAGAGTTTAAACTTTCTTTTTTTTCCATGTAATAAATGTAATCCTGACAAGAACACTGGGAAAACAGCTCATGCTCATCATTTTGATTTATTCTTCAGAAATTAATAAACAAAGCAGGAGTTTGCATTATAAATCTGTTTATCAGAATTACAAAGGGCAGAGTTCACTAGTGGGCCAGAGTTTGCATACATATCAAGGTTATAAATAACCCCATAGGAAAATATCATTAGGATCAGTTCTATGCATCTGACTATATAAAGGAAACGTCAATAAATAGCACTGGAGTAAGTATACGAGTAAAGCTGATTTTTGGAAATAAAAAACAAAAAATAGATAATTTTGACTTCTGTTTACCTCTCTGCTCATGAATAGAAATAAATATATAAGTATGCTGTTATTCATTATTCTTGGAGCTGTAAGAAAATGAGAGAATAGTAGAATTATGAAAATTATAATGTAGTAGAAATCAAGATGTGTTGGTCTGTTCTCACTGCTATAAAAAACTACCTAAGACTTGGTAATTTATAAAGAAAAGAGGTTTAATTGACTCACAGTTCCACATGGCTGTACGGGAAGCATTGTTAGGAGGCCTCAAGAAACTTACAATCATGGCAGAAGATGAAAGGGAAGCAAGCACATCTTACCATGGCAGAGCAGGAGAGAGGAAGCAAAGGGGAAGTGCTACACACTTTCAAACAACCAGGTCTTGTGAGAACTCACTCACTATCACAAAAACAGCAGGGGGAGAAATCTGCCTACAAGATCCAATCACATCCCACCAGGTTCTTCCCCCAACACTGAGGATTACAATTCAACATGAGATGTGGGTGGAGACACAGAGCCAAACCATATCAAACAATAGTATGAAAATATGCACTTTTGTGTGTCTCTGATCTTTATTTCTTTCCATACCTCCTTTCCAATATTCCCATTGAATATGTTACAAAGACTGCTGGCTCATCTCAATCCTATAAGAATGGCAAAGATAGACAGAGTCACAAAATTTAAACTGAAGAGAATATTTGAAGTCGTTTTCTGTTTGGTAAAGAAAGTAGAGAAAAACTGGAACACATAAAAATTCAGAGCGTGTTTTTAGAATGTTTGTGGAGAAAGTTCACCTAAGTTTACTTCAGCAGCAATTATGAAGTTAAATATTTACTTATAGGCATCCATTTCAAAATTCGTTTTGAACAACACGCATTATATTAGCTCTTCTGAAACTTTAGTCAGCACGTGAGAATCTTGTTGAGATGCAGATTCTGATTTAGTGGGTCATAGGTGCGGCCTGAAAGTCTCTTTTTTTGAAAAGTTCACAGTATGGTAAAGTTTCCCATTCTGGAATTATATATGGAGTTGCTAGGCCCTAAAAGAAAAATATATAAGTATACTATCAAGACATATATAGTCAGTTATACCTTGTTATAAAAGGTCATTTTCTCAGAAAATCCCTAGTACAACAGTTTGCTCCAAATTTGCTGTCAGCCATGATGAAAAGGCAACTCTCCTCTTCTTTCTTATTCTTTGTTTTTCTACAAAAGCAAACTTTTCCTCAAGGGAACGTTTTGTTTGGGAATTGGTATAAACAATATTAAATGGTGTAATAGAGATGTCTTGAAAAGCAAATATGGAATAGACACAAAATAATTCTCCAAATGCCAACTTATCCTGACATCATTGCTCTGTGTTCAAAAATAAGGCTTGTATCCTCAGTTCCATCACACACACACCCCCCTTTTTTTTTTGGACATTTCCTTCCCTCATATACTCAGGTCTAGAAGAATTGTAGACCATACTTGACCATCCTATTCAAGTCTCCTTTCAATGAATAAGTGGAAAACCTTCCCTTTTCCTGATCCTTTCAATCAGTTCAAGATAAACATCATTGGCATTACCTCAGATATTCTGATTAATCAATACACAGATGCATTATAATTCATAGATGATATATATATATTTAATGCTTATATGTCCTTGGTACTACTCTAGTTGCTTTGCCTATTTTAAGTAACTTAATTCTTAAAGCAGTACTGTAAGGTAAGTTTAATTATCTGATTTTAATAATGAGGAAATTGCAGTAGAAAGAAGTTAAGTCACATAACAGTTTATAGAGCTGATATCTGGACCCAGGGATCCTTACCCATGGGTAACAGAGAACTTCAGTATGATGACCATGTAGTGGGGATTTTTCACTCTCCACGGAGGGTCTGTGAGGTGGTGGTGGTAAGTGAAATTTCTGGGCTCCGTATATGACAAACTGATGGCCTCCTTTCTGATTAATACTATTGATATGGCTAACAATTCTGTACATGCTTCCAATGGCTTTGAGCACCTCAGCTGTGCCATTTATTTCTTACTGACTTCTCTGGGTTGCTTTAACACCACATCTTTGGTATTTGCACATGTGCACCCTGAAAGTGTGAGAGAGTCCATGCCCATGAGACAACCTCAGCCATTGGGATAGGGATGGGAGCCAGTTGGTAAGAGCCTTCGCCTATCTTCCCCCAGGTGGACAACTCTGAGAAGACCCCCTCAGTAAAACTTTATTTCAGCTATGCTTTCAGGAAACCTTGGCTAAGAAACAGTCTTCCTGTAACTGCATCAGACCATTCTGGTTGAACTTTTATGTAACAAAGCTATGAGTTGTTTTTCAGTTGCAGTGGACCCCAGGTTGAAGTTCATATAATTTGAGCATGCTCAGAGGAACCAAACTGCAACCATGGGTGGAACCTAAGTGCTCAGACCAAGAAATGGAGACTGAATTAAGAAGTGAACATAACATGTCTGGACCCAGGTTCCAATCAGATTAAGCTCTGGCACTACCCCAAGGCAGGATGTAGTCACATCATGTACCCTGACATCACCTCATTGCAAAATTCAATTAGATCTCACCTCATTATCCTACACGTATAAAACCTGACCCAAATTCCAACTCAGCAAGACAGATTTGAGCGTTTCTTCCTGTCTCCTTGTTAGTTGACTTGCAATAAAGCTTTTCTTTTCTCAAAAGACAGTGCTATGTAATTGGCCTCTATGTGCAACAGACAGCAAGCCCATTGATTGCTCTGTAACATTCCCATTCTATTGACAGCTGTTACTTCAGCATAATCTTAAGCCTGGTCATGGACTTAGTCTCATTTATTTCCTTAAGAGCTTGGAAATGGGTATCCACCATTTTGTCTTTTTGTTGATAGATTTTTTAAAACACTAGATTCATTTAAAACATGTTGCAATTATAGAAAATTGAAGTTTCTGATATTGCATTTATGTTTAGCTATCTTGTGTGTGAAAAGACTATTGCAGGCTGACCTGGTGGAGAAGGAACATTTGTTTTTTTTGTATTTATTTATCAAGGAAATATAACATGTTTTCTTAGTCATCTGATTACAGTGTTTCCTTCAGCTCTTTTAGAAATCTATTAGAATGGTACTTTTGGGTTAACCTTTTGGGCAGGAAGGACAATTTATTGATTTAATTAAAAGAGAAACTAAAATTCACTATAAGCAAAAAACGAAGTATAGCTTTATGGCAGTGCTAACCTACAGTTAATGCATTCCAAGTATTTGTTGTAGACATAGTCTTCACCGCAAGTGGATTGATTATTATTCTTACTTCATGCCAAAATACTGTTTCACATGTGTTTATTATTAAATAATGTGACAATTTCAATCATGTTTTCTAGATACATGATAACATTACAGCACCACCCTTCTGAGCATTTGATGTAAATCAACTTTACCCTCTATTAACTCTATCGAGGAATAATAATCCTCTTTATTGATAATTGAAAGAAATTGTTAAAATAATATCTCTTTTTTAAAAAATAAAAAGGCCTAGTGACCTATGAATGCCTAGGAAATCAGCACTGTGTGTGAATTGTTCCACTCATACCCATTGTTGCGATGATATGTGACACCATGCATAGGATGTGTGGACTCTCCCTTTCAAGAATGCAGCATGCAGTGAGGATATGGGCATGGACAGTGAGTTCGTTCTAATCCTCAATAGCTAGTAAAAAGCATACAACCATAAAGCCATCAGTTAATCATTCTGGAAAGAATAAATGAGCTTTTCTAATATTTTTGTGCTGGTCTTCAGCAAGATGAACTGAATGTGTTGAATAATATTTCTGGTTTATTTAGTCCCAACATAACTTTAAAAATGGCTGACATTTGCTAAATCTTATAAAAACCATCCATAAAAACTAAATATGGAAGGAAAGACATTATTCTATCCCCTCAAATGAAAAGAGTGCCTACTAGGCATAATCCAGATGTTTGGATGATGAGAAAAGTAAAAAGAATGAAAAACCAAGCTCTTTGACTCATGGAACTTACAGATCATTCTGAGTTGTGTCAGGCAGGCAACCAACATAGGAAGTGATTGGCTGGGTCATATAGGGAACAGCTGAGCCTTTAACAAACTGGAGAACGCAAGCCTTCTTTGCCCAGGACAACACTAGAATTATTTGTTTTTTAACCCAATGTTGAACTAACAAATGGTGAGAGTTAACTTGCCACTGTCAAACTGACCATTCTCTGCCTTCACTCATACCGCTAGAAATTCTACCCCAACATGTGGGCCTACCACTCCATCCATGAAAACAAAGATTTTAAAGTTTTTAAAGTGCTTTGGTCACTAAAATATTTTAAATTACAAAAGATAATTTACATTAAGCATTCAAATAAAATTATCACAAAGCTTGATTGGATAAGCTATGCAGCATGATAGACAACATATTTATCTGTGCTGAGCCTTTTACTCCAAGCATCATTATTATTTTTATTTATTTACTGTGAATGGTCTTGACATGGAATTCATAATTCTAATTCTTTTTTGGGCTTGATGAGAATATCTCCATCTCTTTTTTCCTTGTTGCCTGCCTGATGAGCCAAAGAATGCAAGACAGAAGGCCCTTCTTGGTCTTGTTCAAAGCTGTATCACCACCTCCCAAAAGAGTGTTTAGGAACTTGCAGAGCCCTCAATATTATGTGCCAAATAATATAGTTTCTGTGGTTTTACCACTTGTGGGCAGAAAGAGTGGAATCCTACAGAATGTCTTTTTTTTGAGACAGAGTCTCACTCTGTCGCCCAGGCTGGAGTGCAGTGGCACCATCTGGCTCACTGCAACCTCTGCTGCCTGGGTTCAAGCAATTCTCCTGCCTCAGTCTCCCGAGTACCTGGGATTACAGGCACCTGCCACCGTGCCTGGCTAATTTTTTGGTTGTTTTTGGTAGAGACAGGTTTCACCATATTTTCCAGGCTGGTCTTGAACTCTCGACCTCATGATCCACCCTCCTCAGCCTCCCAAAGTTCTGGGATTACAAGCGTGAGTCACTGCAGCGGGTCCAGAATTTCTTTATTAAATCTTTTAGAAAGATAAAAAGTATCAAAGAGAGTTTTATGGCATCACAGAATATTTAAGATGAATTGGCCTAATAGGATCACCTTCTCATCATAATTATCTTCTATACAAGTATCATTGGGTTGTTGACACCCAAAGTGGGAAGGTGCCTTAGAGGCTACCTAGAATGAACCTTTCTCCTTCCTATGGTTGCCTTCTGTCATTGATTCTCCATCACTAACTTGTTTGACCTGTGTACGTATCCTGTGGCAGGGGTCTCATCAAGCCCAAAGTTGGGTCATGTCAGACAACCTCTTCTTAGCTTAAATTAAAATATGTTTCCCATAATATTCACTGTTTTCATGTTGAAAACCTCTGAAATCATAGAAAGATAACTGAAGTATTATTAGCTATCCTATCTCTCATAAACCTTTCCAGGCAAAACACCACCAATTTCTTCACCTATCTCTTAAATGGCAGGTGTTTGAGCACCTTACCATTGCACTTTATCCTTTTAAGTATTCACTCCTGTCACCTTACCATATTGGTTCTTCGACTTGTAACCTACAAGAAGCAGGTTAGGACAGACCACCTCCATCTTCTCAAGAAAATGGGATGGAAATGAAATCAATCATGCGGTTGGTGCTACACAATACTCTTTAATAAACATATTAACTTCATAATCAACTAAAATTCATGTTTGCTTCTTGTTTAACGCATATGTTGTTAATTATAATACATATCTATTTTTGTTTAAGATTAATTTTAAGTAACTAAAACAAATGCATAGGCATATAATTTTTAAAATTACATTTTGCTCCAGTAGATGTTCATGTGGCACCCAGATTCCCTTCCCAGCCCAGGGCAGCCCTCCCCCAGCCACCGTCATTTCTGGCTGCTAATGGATCACAGCTGTTCCCCTTCTCAGAAGAACAGTTCTGGCCAAGTTCACTCCTCACTTCCCCAACAAGGGCAGCCTGCAGACATGGACTGGTTGACAAAGGGTCCAGAAGGTCCTCTGCCTCAAGCAGGGATCACCATGTGGTGAGGTTACATCCAGTGCTCCCAGTGGGATCTGACCAAAGTACCCTCCAGCTAAGACATCCTTTGCTTACTCTATCCTACTTCCCTTATTTCTTTTTGCAGAGGAATGTTCTCTTAATAAAGCATGTGCCCTGAAATCCCTATCTCAGGCTGTGCTCCTAGGGAACCTGGCCATAAACAATTACTAAGAGGATTATGATAATATACAGATTACTTGCTGATTCTTAGACGTAAACACATCGAATCCTTTAAGCTGTGTGTGTTTGTGGGTGTTTTGTGAGTGAATTGTTTGAGGATATAGTATTCCTAAATATAAGTCATCTTTTTATTACTTGAAGTATACATTTTATATTATTTTTTGTCACCTTTGTGTGAAAAGAAACCTTTTGTTTTCTTTAACTTTATAGCCCTAATAATCATAATGTTATCTAAAATATATTGCAGAGGGTAACATTCCTATGACAATATTAATGTTACTCATACTTGACCCAAGTTGTATTATGAGTACTTTTTCTTCACTCAATGTTTTTCCATACAGTAGTTGCTATCTTATTTTTTATTATATTTTATTATATACCTCCTATTGTTTTACTTCAATTTTTTGTTTTTAATTAATACTTTATTTTTATTTTTTATAATTGATAAGAGTTATTGTATAAATTTTGGGGGCACATGTGATATTTTGATACATGCGTATAATATGTAATAATCAAATGAGAGTAATTGAGATATCCGTCATCTCAAACATTCATCAATCTTTAATCTTTGTATCTGGGAACATTCCAAACCTTCTTGTATATCTGTTTTAAAAGATGCAAAAATATTATTGTTAACTACAGTCACCCTACTGGGCTATTGAACTCTAGAACTTACTGAAATCAAGAACCCATTGAACTCTCTAATTGTAGTTTTGTACCTATTAAACAATTTCTCTACTGTGCTCTAAATGATCCAACAGATCATCACATAATCCTGCCGGAACCCTGCCCCATGCAGGAGGCTTCTCTCAACACCGTCTTACAAAACCAGTGGGTGCAGGTTGCTCTCTGGACCTCCTGGACAGCTGCCAACTTGAGGCTTCTTTTTACTCCTGTCCTGGTCACCGTACTTTGTTTTTTCCCTTTCTTCAATTTACTGAGCTTTGCAGTAGCTTCCTAAGTAAGGGTACATGCGAGCTAAGCCATCCTTTTTTTACTCTGAAAGACTTTGTTCTACCTGTATATTTCACTAATATTTTGCCTAGGTAGTTTACTGTCATGATAGTTGCCTAGTTTACTGTCATCTCCAGACCTGATAGATAAGGCATCAATTCCCTCTGTTAAGAATTCTCCTTTCTGGTGGCCATGAGCCTATCACCTTCAGCTACTCTTGGTGAGGTGGCATTAGAATAGTATATTGCTTAACAGGATAGGCTTTGGGTTAAGACAGCCTTGAGCTTAGAAACTAAATATACAATAATATGGCTGGGTGCAGTGGCTCACACCTGTAATCCCAGCACTTTTGGAGGCCTAGATGGGCAGATTGCTTGAGCTCAGGAGTTCAAGAACAGCCTGGGCAACATAGCAAAAATTTGTCTGTATAAAAGAAAAATATAAGGCCAGGCCTGGTGTCTCACGCCTGTAATCCCAGCACTTTGGGAGGCCGAGGCAGGCAGATCATGAGGTCAGGAGTTCGAGACCAGCCTGACCAACATGATGAAACCCCATCTCTACTAAGAATACAAAAATTAGCCAGATGTGGTGGCACATAGCTACTTTGGAGGCTGAGGCAGGAGAATTACTTGAACCAGGGAGGCAGAGGTGGCAGTGAGCTGAGATTGCGCCACTGCACTCCAGCCTGGGCAACAGAGCGAGACTCTGTCTCAAAAAAAAAAAAAAAAAGTAGAAGAAAAATGTATATACAATAATTTCTTAACTTTCACAGCCTCCTGCTCCTGATATAGAATACTAAAATATCTACTTCAAAATGTGATATGAAAATTAACTGATATAAAAAATGTAATGTGAACATTCAAGAAATGGTTATTTAGATTCTCAAAGGCGATGTCAAAGGTAGTAAGCATTCATAAGGGGCATAACATATAATTAAGATATATTTTGTATAGCATAGAGGAGAAAATAAACTTGCCCTCAAAATACTTAAAAATATGGAACACAAAATATATATGAACGTCAGTATATTAATCATAAGAATCTTCATCTAACATAGGCTAGATTTCATTTTCTTCCAGGTTATAGAATAAGATTGGCAATTTATCTAACACATGTGATTTTATGAAATTTTCAAACTATGTAAGATTTGATATGGTTTGGATCTGTGTCTCCACCCAAATCTCATGTTCAATTGTAATCCTCAGTGTTGGAGGTGGGGCCTGGTGGGAGGTGACTGGAGCATGGCAGCAGCTTCTAATGGTTTACCACCACTCCTCCGGGTGTAACTCTCATGATCGAGGGTAAGTTCTCATGATATATGGTTGTTTAAAAGTGTGTAGCACCTCCCCTCTCTCTCTCTTCCTCCTGCGCCCACCATGTAAGACGTGCCTGCTTCCCCTTTGCTTTCCACAGTGATTGTTAAGTTTCCTGAGGCCTCCCCAGAAACCAAGCAGATGGCCAGCATTATGCTTCCTGTACAGTTGGTAGAACTGTGAGCCAAGTAAACCTCTTGTCTTTATAAATTACACAGTCTCAGATGTTTCTTTATAGAAGTGTAAGAATTAGCTAAAACAAGATTATAATAATTAAATCTTTGGCTAACTACTAGGGCTCAGAATTTAAGTCAAGGACTCTTCTTGTGTGTATATTTGTGAGTAGGTGTGGTAATGTCTATCTTGGTTATTATTGTATTAATCTCATGTCATGTTGGTGACATTGTGGCTATATGTAATTCTTGCACATTACCTCAATAATATGTTTTCATAACCTAAAATACATATATAAAATAATTATTTAGAGTATTATTGATTGTGTGTGTGTGTGCATTTGAAAAAAGAGAGAGGGTGACATTGATCGTTTTCTGAAATATCTAGTTACTGCTTTCCTGAAGAAGTTATATTTGAAACTTCATGTAATTTTTCCATTTTTATATTAAATCATGTCTGAAAAATGTTCTGAAAAAAGGGTAATACAAAATAATTATGAAAATGTTGGCTTTATATCTTCTCTTCAGGGTATATTAATTAATAATGGGTAATATTAAGAGGTTCTTGTCTGCTTACAAGAGTGTGTAATTTTAAGTGGAGTCAATGAAAAATGTATCACTGAAACTGCAATTGCTGATATTTGTTGGGAAAAATTAAGGCAAAGAGCCTTAATATCTCCCTTACCACTGCTGAATGTTTTAACAATTATATACATTTATTTACTCCATAAAATAATTTTGTACCTGAAAGAAAATAAAGATAATACTTTATTTTTTTGTAAAGACCTCTTCTTTCTTATTAACTAACACTGAATAAATCTATATTAAGTGTAGACCCAATAAACACTACCAGCAGAGCTGTGTGAAAAGCCAAATGCAGCAGTTGATTCACCGAACCTGTTATAACTTTCTGAATTAGTAAAACTAAGGTGCTCTATTCGGAAGTTACAGTCTTTTCTAGGTAAATAATATTATGCTTGGTTTCCAAAAATCTTTAAAGAATAAATTTTGGTAGAACAATAGTTGTTATACCTTATATCATTTGGATAACTATTTTCATTATTGCCCATCAGCAGTGACACCTCCAGGGTCATTAAGCCGGTGGACAGCCCTAATGTGTCCTTGTTCTTATGAACAGAAAAATAAAGCTTACACTGACTGCAATGGTTTGCTGCTCATACTTACGTTGAAATGTTTCTCACACTGGAAGATTTTCATATTTCCAAATAAAATAGTCTACAGAAAGATTGAAGGGAAGGAGTTGTTATAAAGGACATAAAACAAAGGAAAACAAAACAAACATCAAAGAAAAATATCCATTTCAGATATCAGCAACTACCAAAAACTTCTCAAAAACATCAGAGCATTATATGAAAATTAGACTAATGTGGCCACAATGTGAGAGCTTTTGATGTGAACTAACAAAAAAAAACTCATTTAATGAAAACAAATTTATTTTTTTCTCTCATATATACATATATAAATATATATGTGACATATGTCATAGTTCATAGATATATTTGAAGAACTGTAATCACTGTCAGTGTCTCAAAGAAGTGAGAAATAAAGTCTGCTCCACTATGCTCTGACACAGCTTTTAAGCTTTTGGTTTGCCAGAAGTAACTCAGAAGCCTTTAGATCAGGAGGTCTTTTATGCTTAGGAAGGCAAGCTCTGTGATGATATTGATCGGTTTCAAGGGCATATTAGAAATGAAGCCAAGTCTCTGGAGAGAGGTTGCCATCACCTTGACCTTGGGTCAGCATTAGACCACTGACCCTTGAACCCCAAGACCTATCTACCAGATTCTGATATCTTTTATGCCAACTGAGTAAGTCAGCAGGGTACACATGTCGATGTGGCTCTTGCCAAATCAGAATTGACTGGCCAGTAGGAAGCCTGCGAGCAGCGGGAAATGTGGGTTAAAGTATGTCAATAATGTTTCAGAAGAATGATTTCTCCCAAGAATTGTAGCTGTTGGAATGTTTTGACATTTATTCAGCAGAGAAATGTAGCATGTTTTGTGAAGCACTTCAAGAGAGCTGCTGCTAACTGCTGTGGTATATTGATCTTTCTGTTAAATTGCATGGGCACACTTGGGAGATCATTGAGATTCAGGCAACAGGACAGAAAGGATCGGCTGCACCCGATGGTCACTAATGGTAATTGGTTTCGATCCTTGCACTTGAAGAAGCCGTGATTTACTTGGTTCACTGATGAATTGTAGACACTAAATATTTTGAAAGAAAAAAATACCATTTTTAAACATTTACAAGGCATCACCTCCATTCCTGAATATCTCATATTTAATACATTCAGCAATGTAGAAAATATACCAAGTCATATTGTTTAAAATTCTGATGTTCTTGCTGATGTTGCCAATCTTTACTTATACCATTTGTTTGTTCATTAGTTTATTTCTCAACTTGTTCGTAATTGAATTTAAGATAGTCTATTCTGCGCGTTTTTCACTGAAATGTAGTTTTATAATTATAAAAAATACATCTATAAGAGTGCATAAGAACATAAAGAGGAAACCAAATGACTTTTTTCTTCAGTCATGTGCTATTTTCAAAACTTTATTATATAATTTTTACACTTATAATGTAAACATTATTCCACATTAATACATACACCAATAATTCATTATCTTAGTGATTACACAGTAAACAATAGTATAGTGTCTGTTGAGGATCAATATTTACTTTATTGCCAACCATTTCATTTTTTTGCTAATTCTAATAATTCTCCCATATAAACATGTATACACACACGCACACATATACACATATGGCTGTGTATATAGAAAGACAGATATGTATATACGTATCTCTATGTATGTATTATATACATTTTACATATACGTATATATAAACACATAGATATGTATATACATAGGTATATATACACATACATATATCTAGCTATTTACCTATGTACATACCTATGAATATGTATATATGTACATGTATGTGTACATATGCCTGCATAACATATATTATACATAATATATGTGTATATATGCCTGTGTATATATATGTATATACATATATATGCCTATCTACCTATATACATGCAGTATTTTTGTGTATAATACATGTATGTGTGCATATACCTATACAATATATCCATTATATATGTGTTACCAATGTATATGTATTTATGTATACGTATGTACATAGTTGAATATAGGCATGTATATCTATGTATACATACATCTCTATCTATTTACCTATATACAGAGGGGTATATACATTTGTGTTTTATAATGCACATACACATATACACATATGTAATACATATATGATACTACACACACAATTCTGCCACACATATATAGACAAATGCCACCTGTGTGTATGCATATGTGTGTGTAATATATATATGGTTGGCAGAATTGTTAGAACTAGCAAAATAAATTTAAAAGGATATCCACAAATTTAAGTACTTGTGTCAGTTTAGTTACAGCACATTCCCAAAGGCGTAGTCATTTTAATTTTAACAAATATTGACACATTTTCTTTTAAAATAATTTCACCATGTTATATTGTTTTAGGAGTACTTCTTAATTTTTTTCTACCTGTGTTTATGATTCTAAGATAATTTTAACTAAAATTTGAATTGCTTTCTTAACCCTATATATTTTGGGGAGTATAATATTAAATAAATACAATACAATATGTAGTCATATTAACCAATGAAATAGTTCTCAATTTAATTGAAGAATAGGAATAATGGAATTATAACTTTTATACTAATAAAATATCTTTAAATGTCCTACACATTATGATATCAAATTGATTTTTACTGTTTAGTCACAGTCGTACTCAGAGTTTATAATCATTCAATAAAGAGGAAAAAAATTATACTATACAAAGTAGGTTTAAACACTCATTCAGGGTGTATTTCTCTAACCCACATTGGGATGAAAAAATATTTTTCTGATTAGATGTATAAGAAAAGGTTTGAGAAACATTATTGGCTATTAAACTTGAGGACATTTTGCAAACTTATTAATACATTGCGTAAGAAACACTTTGCTTATTTCATTGAACCATATTAATGAGAAATGCAAGAGAACTTAGTGGTTTTCATTGTGTTAAAATGTAAAATGTGCATTAGAATTCCTCGGGAGCTTTCAACCATGAAGGTAAATAACATGATCATTTCTTTGGAATCTTATTTTCCATTTCTGGAATGAAGATCATGCTCATGAGAGCTGTAGGCGGGAATCAGGAGACAGATCTCTGTTACTGCTGCCAATGGGCTAGTGGCAGTGAAATTACCTCACAGATTCATAAGAATCTTTCAGTCTTCTCTTCTGAAGGGTTCAGCACTAGTGGAGATAAAGGGATTATTTTTTCTGCCCATCCATTCTCAGGCTCTTATAAAACCTTGACAATAAGTGTGCTAATAAGAACTAATTGCTCTAATGGACACTAGTCTAGTGGGATCCAACAGAGACCACCAACTCATTGAAGTTGAAAAGTATTTTGTAGCAGGCTATGAATGCGTGGATTTCAACTGTTTACTTCAGAGTAAAAGAAAAATATACTTCCAAGTTTTCTCATAATTTCTAATACCTGTTTTTTTGTGTGTTTTGAAAGAATGTTTAAAATAAAAAGGCTCTGGCTGTTTTTATGATTTCACTTAGGGGAAAAAGTTATTTTCTCCCAAAGCAATGGATCCATAAGAAAGCAGCATGAAACCAACTATGATACTAGATGAGATACCAATTTTCTTCTTTTCTTAATACCACACATTCAATTCTTTTCAATAGTTTTCATATATATACATATATATATGTATATGTAAAACTTTTTTTTTTTTTTTGAGATAAAATCTTTCTTTGTCACCCAGGCTGGAGTGCAGTGGTGCAATCTCAGCTCACTGCAACCTCTGCCTCCTGGGCTCAAGCGATTCTCCTGCCTCAGCTTCCCAGTAGTTGGGAATACAGGCATGCACAACCGTGCCCAGATAATTTTTGTATTTCTAGTAGAGACGGAGTTTCACTATATTGGCCAGGCTGATCTCAAACTCCTGACCTCAAGTGATCCGCCCACCTCGGCAACCCAAAGTGCTGGGATTACAGACATGGGCCACCATGCCCCATCCGTTTTCTGATATTTCTTACAGAATAATGTATATGTATTATTCCTTTCTTCTGTTCAACCCCCAGCCTCCAGGTTTCTTTAGAATCTTGTAGAGATATATATATGGCTATAGATATAGAAGTACATCTGTAAGTATCTATCTATATCTGTTGCGCTAAGCTCATGCATTAGAATCAAACTAGGTCCTTAGGCCTGTTGTTGCCCACTATTTTTGAACACCCCAGTCCAAACCATGTTAAACCAGTTTTCAGATTCCTATAGTTTGGGGACATTGCCCATATCTTCCTTTTTTCTATCATCATCATCATCATCATATTTAATTCTGGGTCTTTTGACTTTCTATATAAACATTAGACACTAGATTTTCAAAAAATAACTCTTTAGGATTTTGATTGGGATTGTGTTAAATAAAGACGGAAAGAACTGACACGTGAACAATATTGAGTCTTCCTATACATGAACATGGAATATTTCTCCTTTTAAGATGTTTTATTTTCTTCAACATCGCCATATTTTACAATCAGCTCATCAATGCTTTATTCTGTAGATAGAGAGCCCTTCGAAAAGCAGAAGTAGTCATATTAACCAATGAAATAGTTCTCAAATGGAATAGAAGCTATTCATAGGAAAGAAAGTTGTTCTATTTTTATTCTTAATGCTATAAATTCACAATGAAGTGCTTACTATTCAGGGATCTGGTCAAAAATAATATAAGAATATTCTCAGCAGCTTATTATACAATCTTTAAGAATAGGCCCATTACATGAGTGTGTAGCTTTTTAAAATGATGAATATTTTCTTATGCCTTACCTATGGTGGATTGCAAACTATATTTGGTGCTTCTTCAATATAGCCCATTTGATGTCAAAAGGTGAGAGTAGCCAGCCCGAGGAAGGAAATCAATATGCTCTCGGGCAGCACTTAAGGCAACATGACCCCTTGGAGCATTTGGTAAACCACAGTAGTGAAAAAGCAAGGAAAGCAAATCAGTTTTTCCCAATTTTTTTTTCAAAAAGTCCTGTAAAGTTTTTCCTAAGATCACATTGTCATTTTATAATGTTGATGTATTGTATCAAAACATGTTACAGTATAGGAAAAATATTAGGAGAAAGGAAAATGGATTGATTATAATTTTAATGATCATGCATCCTCTTCAAAGCCGTAGATCCTAGCTAGATCCCTAGCTCCACAGCATTTACAATTGATTATGTACAGTTCGAACTTCTGAAATATTTACAAATGTTAGATAGATAATGACAACCCCAGAAGAAAATGCAAAAAAACCCAGAAAGCTCACAGAAGATAGCCTAAGGCAATCACTGATGAAGTCAGACCTTCATGATCTGTGAGCTTTACTTGAAAATCCTTTACTAAAATGTTTTCACACATGGTTCTGGGCTTTGGGATGAAGCAACTGTTCACCAAAGAAAGGTAAGGATTATTTACTGGCATCAGAAATAGGGAATCTATTATTAAACAGTACAGAGGTTATTATCTATCACACACTGAATTTACCAAAGTTGAATGACAACTCTCATAGCAACGGATTTTAGCTGAGATGCTCCAAGCCACGTTTCAGATAAAAGTTTATGTGATCTCTTTAAAGGACTGTGTACTGTTAATCAAGAAATTTTGCTCCAGGCCTCATGTTTGTCTTTCACTTCAGGCTATTCAGCACAATCCCGCAGGTATTCTGGCAAGGGTATGCTAATGTGGGCTTAAGTGTGTTTGTGTCAGTAAGTGGCAGCTTGGGAGTCAGGGGGTTTCAGAGGTGTCGCTGCTTATTGGTTGGTTTACCATTGGTTAGAAAAGTCAGTGAATTAGGAATGATTTTACCCAGGTACCAAACTAAACATATGATTGTTATTTTTGATGTCATGTTTATACATGTATGCATTCTTTACTCAAGCTGTCTTTTGGTTTATCTGTTTCTAGTCTCTGATGAGACCATTTCCCTCTATGCAACATTGGGAAAAAAAACTATAAAGGTTCAAATATTTGTGGATTTTCTAATCAGAAATTCATTGCCCAATTAATTACATCCATCTAGCTCTCAAAGTTACTATTATGAAAAGTTCTCATAAATTTCCAACAGTGTATTAAACCTGTTATTTTTGAGTATCTATATTTGCCCAATTCTGTGTGAAATTCTTTATATTCATGAGCCTATTGTTGAGGAAGGAATTATTTGCATTTTACTTATGATTGAACTGAGAACATACAGCTAGTAAGTAGTGAAATTCTGGATTCAAATATAGGCTCAGCAGACTCCATATTCCATGCTAATATATTATTCATTTATTCATCAACAAATATTTATTGAGTGTGGACCGTGTGGTTGGCCCTAGGAATACAGCAGCATCCTACTTAAATAGGGCTTATATTCTGAAAAGGTAACAGTGATTGTCAGCCCTTCTCTGCAGAGGTGCCTGCTGACATCATCAGCATCCTTCATGATGGTGTCTTCTGAAGTAGCCAGTTCCACTTGTCTATGGCTTAGAGGATCCATTCTGCTAGCATCAAACTCTTCCAGGCCACTGTCTCTGTCCTTCTCTCTCTCACCCACTTCTCTGTTCATCTCAGAATACAAGCAAATTAAGCTCCTCTCTCCTTGAGCCTAGGCACCCCTCTGCCATCTTTACTTTAAGCCCCCATACCATAAGAGAGAGAAGATTTGCTACCCAGGGCTTACCACCCTTCCAGAGCACCAAGTGGGAACAGGCACAAGTGTTCCAGTGTTTGAACTGGTGTTCCAGAATCCAATCTGGTGGGCTCAACTTCAGGAAATAGACAGGGTGTAAGATCCCTTTGCTGAGATTCCACATCACCCTTCTTTGCTCTGCACTTTCCTCTCTGCTATTTCCTTTCCCAGCCTAGTCAAGCCTAACGCTGTCGCTGAGAGTAGGGAATTGTGGATGATTTTGGCAGTTTCTTTTGGTCACTTTCACTAAACCAATAAGTTTCAGGAGTTCTCTTTGAAAGTTAAAATCTAAGACACATTGCTTACTTTGCATTGCTGTAATAGTTATTTTTCTGAAGACAAGGGACTGAAAAATAGAAATCATAAAAAAGTGTTGCAGTGGAGGTAAAAAAAATCTGTGTAAATAAAATGTGTGTGTGTGTGTACTCCATATATTGTTTCTAAAAATTTCAAAAGATCTGCTGTATATATCATAGTGACAACAGTTAATAACAATATATTGTATATTTTTAAATTGCTATGAGAGCAGATTTTAAGTGCCTTACAACAAAGAAATGATATGTATGTGAGGTAATGCATATGTTAAATAGCTTGATTTAGCCATTCTACAATGTATATATATAAATATATATCCAAACATCATGTTGTACAGTGTGAATATATATATATGGTTTTTTACTCATCAATTATCCTAAATAAATATTTTAAAGAGAAAGACTTATAAATTTCCTTTTGTAACTCCACCCTTTATCTGTTTGAACATTTTTTATCTTTTGCAATTTGAATGAAATATTTTATTACTATTAAAAATTTTGTCATATATAACTCTTCCTATAAATTGCTTGAATCTTTTTTATTCTTTTCAAATGGATATTCATTGTTATATTTAATATCTAATATAACTACCATGTTTACTGAGGGCTGATAAATATTTGATGCCCAGACAGGAAATCATATATTAGAATTAGCATTTATATATGTTACTTTTTTTTTCAGAGACTAGGTCTTGCTATGTTTCCCAGGTTGGAGTTCAGTGGCTATTCACAGGCACATGTACAGCGTGCTATGGGTTCCAGGGATACTCCTGCCTCAGCCTCCTGAGTAGCTGGTACTACAGGTGAGGGCCACTGTGCTCCGCCTAGTAAAGAAAAAAAGGAAAAGAAAAAATATTGACTACTAAGGTATTTGAGGAAGATAATTAACAACATTATTTAATTTAAAAATAATTCTTGAGAGGTTTCTATCACCCATGTATGGCAGGGCTAACATATCTACCACTAGGATTATCAAACTTTTCAAATGTAAGAAGGAGCAAGTAGGTTCCACTATGTCTTAGCAAAATGCCACAAAATTTTACAAACCTCATTTGTTTTTAATGCAAAAAGCATAGCAGACTGAGTGTTACTTTCTCTTTGATTAAAATATTTCCAAAATTATGAGCTATTTTAAGATTCATTATCCCCTCAATTGTGTACCAGAGACTTTATAAAATATAATTAACAGTTTTCATTAAAAATTATATCCAATAAATATGGGGGTGAATATATTACTTTGATATACTGATTTCTTTTCCTTTGAATAAATACACAGTATTGGGATTGCCAGATCACATGCTAGTTCTATTTCCAGGTTTTTAAGAAACCTCCATACTGTTTTACAAAATGGCTCTACTAATTTACATTCCCACCAACAGTATATGATTTTTCCTTTCTCAGCATCCTCAGCATCATTTTTTATTCTGTTTTTATTTTTAAATAGCCATTCTAATTGGGGTGAGATGACATCTCACTGTGGTTTTCATTTGTGTTTCCCTGATGATTAGTGATGTTGAGTATTTTTTCATATACCTGTTGGCCATGTGTATGTCATCTTTTGAAAAACATCTGTCAGATCTTTTGCCCACTTTTAATGGGATTATTTGTTTCTTTTTTCTGTTGTTTGAGTTTCTTGTATATTCTGGATGTTAATATATTAATCATTTATTAGATGAATATTTTGCAAATATTTTCTTCCATTCCAGA
Source organism: Homo sapiens (assembly GCF_000001405.40). Taxonomy (NCBI): domain Eukaryota; kingdom Metazoa; phylum Chordata; class Mammalia; order Primates; family Hominidae; genus Homo; species Homo sapiens. Next base: position 103,661,890 of record NC_000002.12, on the reverse strand, counting down.
GATTGTTTCTTTACATTGTTGATTGTTTTCTTTGTATGTTTTCCCTCATATGTGGTAGCCAAAAATGTTGCTGTCATTGAGGTAGAGAGTAAAATGATAGTTATCTAAGGCTAGGAAAAGTGTATGTGTTGGGGAGGAATGAAGTAAGGTTGGTTAATGGGTACAAACAGACAGATAGAAGGAATACGTTCTAGTGTTCAGTAGCACAGCAGGGTGACTTGAGTTAATAATTTATTATATATTTCAAAATGCCTAGAAGATTTTAAGTGTTCCCAATGCAAACCAGTAATAAACATTTGAGTTGATGGATTTCCTATATACACTAATTTGATCATTATATCATATGCATCTATCAAAATATCACACATACCGCATCAATATATGCAATTATATATCACTAAAAACTAAATAAACTTACTTCCAGCAATTTCAATTTAAATGTTAAGAATTATAGTTCTTTTGATCTGAAAATTAGCGATGAAAATAACATTTTCCTAATCACAAAACACTTCCTTTCAGTAAATACTACCAACTTATGAAAAAGTAGACTATTTAGTTTTTTAATAATTTAATTTGGTAATTTTACTAATTCAACATTTATATATTGTTCATAACATTCAGGTTTAAATAAGAAATGTAGTATGATTGACCTGTTAGGGGATCCATAATTATGTATTGTCTTAAACCTAATACATGGCTAATTTTGCTTAATTTCTTGCAATTAAGGAAGGAGTTAAACTTGTGATGATGCAATGCAAAATGTATCATGACATAAGCTTAATAAGAGTCCCCTTCTGAATATGTGATGAGTCTAAGGAGTACATGTAAACGGTACCATTTTAATTTGTGCATTTTCAGCCCAACATCACAGCTGACACACAGTGGGAGATTAATAAATAATCACTGAAAACATGCTTTGTAATATCAGTCACCTGAAAGAAGCACTTAACCACTCATGCTGTGAGCATACATAGACCCAGTATTATTTCTTTTAATTTTCATGATAATTAAGTTTAAAAAGAACTAACATGAAACAATAGAAACTACAAGCTTAAAATAATAAAGTTACAGACATTGAAAGCTAAATCAAATTATAATTTATATATGAGAATCAAAAGTAATCAGCTTGCAATTGATAAGACCTAAGCATATTTTATTAATTTTATGCTGACATGACATTAAAATATTGTAAAATGTTTCAAAATTGCTAAAAAATGAAAAATATATTTCATAGAATATAGCAAAAGGAATGTTTTTATTTTCTAGAAAAGTTATTTTCATATATAATGTTTTGAGTTATTGTGCATTGTTTAGAAATTTGTGCAAAAAATTAAAATGTATCACAAAAATCCTTAAGAGAAACAGTATTAAGTAAAACAATAATCTTAATTGCAGGGGATATTCATATTAAAATAATTCAATTAGTATTGGTAAGAAACCATTATTTTAAAATAATGTCAAAATTCAAGAAGTTTAAGGAAATTTACATTTTTTCTTTCTTTCACAGGATATTAGTTCATATTGTAGATAATATTATATGTGATTTTGAGCTTAGAACATTAAAATAATATGAACTATTCATTTATATTTTATAATTAAATAATTATTAACAATAAGCTAGGCAATGTACAAAAGGTCAATGTAAATTTAAAAATTGAACGTATTCTCATTACATACTTAGAATTAGGTATAGGCACCAATGATGATATCTCTTGTGAGTTAAACAAGGTGGAAGTTTATTTCTCCCACATGTAACAGTTCACCGCATGCTGTCAGGGATCCAGGTTTTAACTGTGTTGGTGCTCAGCCACAAATAACTTTGATCTCATGTTGTACTCCAAGATGATAACATCCACATTCTAGGTGACAAGAAATAAAAGGGACAAAGAAGAGACCAAACAATCACTCTGGACTTTCTTAAAGAAGGTTCTGAAAAACTGCCACTTAGACATACTGTCACGTAGCTACAGTAAGATTCAGACATGAAGTGTGTATCCTGAATGGACACTTGCTTGCATTTTGATAATAAAGTGGAAGGAGAAAAAAGAGTGATAAAGGAAAACCAGCAATCTCTTTCACATCCATGGTGACCACAGTTAATATAGTAATGTATTTTTCTAATATTGTTTGTTTATTTGTTTTTTTGAGATAGAGTCTCGCTCTGTCACCCAGGCTGGAGTGCAGTGGCTCGTCTCGGTTCACTGCAAGCTCCGCCTCCCGGGTTCATGCCATTCTCCTGCCTCAGCCTCCCAAGTAGCTGGGACTACAGGCACCCACCACCATGCCAGGCTAATTTTTTGTATTTTTGGTAGAGACGTGGTTTCACCGTGTTAGCCAGGATGGTCTCGATCTCCTGACCTCGTGATCCGCCCGCCTCGGCCTCCCAAAGTGCTGGGATTACAGGCGTGAGCCACTGCGCCCGGCCCTAATATTCTTTTTGTGTTCCTATATGTGTGATTTTATATAAAACCAAGTAATATCCCAAACTATTTTTTCATTTAATTTAACTGACTCGTATTCTTCAGTGTTAAGCATTTCAGCTTATAGATAGATGTTAATTTATTTACACAATTCTCTAATGTTAAAAACCTAGCCTTTCTCAAAATTGTGTTAATATAATAATTTTTTGTGATAAACATTAGCTTACTATGATGTTTTTTATATCTTGTCATTCCCTTGTAACTAACAATATTTTAATATTACAGTAAGCCTCTTCAGCATGAAACAGAATACTTACAATTAAATATATGTTCTAATGAATTGTAAACTCATTCAAGTTACATGTTTAAAATTTGGGGCTGGGCGCAGTGGTTCATGCCTGTATTATCCCAGCACTTTGGGAGGCTGAGGTGGGCAGATCACGAGGTCAGGAGTTGGAGACCAGCCTGACCAACATGGTGAAACCTCCTCTCTACTAGAAATACAAAAATTAGCCAGGCATGGTGATGAGTGCCTGTAATCCCAGCTACTCAGGAGGCTGAGGAAGGAGAATCACTTAAATCCAGGAGGTGGAGGTTGCAGTGAGCCCAGATCATGCCACTACACTCTAGCCTGGGCGACAGAGCAAGACTCTGTCTCAAAGAAAAAAAAAAAAAAAAAAAATTGGGTTATGTTAAGCTTTTAAACTCAACTTATAGATTTTCTTATTAAAGACAATTAAAATCTTAACATATAGTAATACTTGTAAATGTAAATCCAATCACTTTTTCTTGCACTTTTTACTAATTTTTGGATTACTTACATATTTTAGATATAATTTTTCTATTATTTAATGAGATTTCCAAATTTCATTAAGTATGTTCCCTTAGACATTACAAACCAAAATTTCAAGTTTCATAGACTTTATTTTTCTCTAGAAAATTTAATACGGCAGACTTACAAATCTAACACATTGAATCATTATAAGCATTTAACTCCTTTAAAAAAAGACATAAACATCTTAAGAATTTTAGATATGTTTAAAAATTTTAAAAATCAATTACAAATTTGTTACTATTCTACTTCTTTCTAAAATATATATTTATTATTTTATATAGCTCCCTGATATTACACATCTACTCAGATAATCAAGAAAAAACAAAGTTACCATTATCTGGAATATGGATATGCAAATCATCAAAAAGCACTATAAACTATTTTTTAAAGCCACAAACTTAACTCATTCTCAGCCATGTCTAAAATGACTCTACAACATCCAATGGATTTATATTTTAGTGACCTCATAGCCATAGTAAAATGTGACACATAGAGAAAAGAATTAGAATATACAGTTATGTCTTGTCCTTTGGTACATAAACATATTCACTGAAAACAAGAAACTACCCTTGACACTGAAATCACTATTCCACAATTCCTTTGCAAAATGTTGTATTAAACTCATTGTTTTTGCTACTCCATTACATACTCATTTCTCAACTAGTTTCATGCACTGAACTAAAACTGATATTCTAGAAGTATCAATGTCTATGGTAGTTAGAATGATGGCCAAAGATTATCATGTCCTTATCCTCAGTACCTGCTAATATGTTACCATTTATAGTGAAGCACTTAACTCCTTTAAAAATAAGACATAAACATCTTATGTCTTATGGGCATGGTGGTTCGTCCTTTAATATTATGTTTTATTATTATTTGTTTTAGGATGAGTTGAACCAACCATTGTTGAATAGAAATTAATCAGTTATTGATTAGATAGCTAATTAGGTAGTTATATTTCAGATGTGATTAATGTTATGGACTTTGAGATGGGCAAATTATTCTGGATTATCTGGATGCCTCCAGTATAACCTTAGTCCATAAGAGTGGAGAACCTTATGCAGCTATGGTTGGAAGAAAAGAGATGTGGCTGAATGTAGTGGCTCACACCTGTAATCCCATCATATTGGGAGGCCACAAAGGGATGGTCGCTTGAGTCCAGCCTGAGAAACAAAGTAAGACCTTGTCTTCAAAAACTGAAAAAAAATTAGCCAGGTGTGGTACTGGGTGTCTGTGGGCCCAGCTACTCAGCAGGCTAAGGCAGGAGGATTGCTTGAGCCCCAGGAGTTCGAGGCTGCAGTGAGCTGTGATGGCCACTGCACTCCAGCTTGGGCAACAAAGCAAGACCTTGTCTCAAATTAATTAATTAATTAAAAAATAAAAGAAAGAGATGGGATGATGAAGGTGAGTCAGAGGTATGCCATATTGTTGGCTTCAAACATGAAATGAGAGAGCCACTAGCCAAGGAATGCAGGTGGTTTCTAGGAACTGAAAAAGGTCAAGAAACGAATTCTTTCTAAGAGCATCCTGAAGGAAATGTAGCTCGGAAATATTTTGATTTTATCCCAGTGAGACAGCTGTCAGGCATCTGACCTAAAGAGTTGTAAGATCATAAGCTTGTATTGTTTTAAGCCACCAAATTTGTGAATAATTTGTTGTAGTAGCAATGTGAAACAAATAAAGTGACCTGTTAGCACCACATTCAATGAGTTAGGGGTTAGTTAAACTATTTTGTTACACCATATTATCCTATAATATCTTCCTCTGAACACTAATCATATTGTAATCTTTTGTTTGATTTATTATCCTTCTGTAAACTCCCAGAAGACACAAACTGCATCTTGCACAGAGATGTACTCAGGACCATGGACAGTACTCTCAAAAGTGTGTTACATGAAATCACTGTTTTTCAAGTCTTCATTGCAATCGACCTCTGAAGCATTTGATCTTTTTTAATTTAACTCCTCCATATATTTGAATGGCTACTATGCACAAATTTTAGTTGTTTAGGAGTTGCAAATTAGAGTAAAACATTCTGTCTCCAAGGCATTTGTAAATGTAGTAGTAGCGGGAACTCGATAGCTAATTAGGTAAATAGGTAAATTGATGGACTAGACCAGAAAAAATCTAATCAAGAACAACCATACGAAAAAGAAGAAAAGGTACCAAGTGAGGAAAATTGTATATTATATAATAAGTTACCTGGATCCAGGGAATATGAATAAAATTAAATCACTGAGCTAATTGTCTCAGATGAGGTGCCTTGCAATGGTGTATTTTGTATTTACACTACTAGTTTGTCTCATCACATGCTCAATGTACTTTCCACCCAAGGATGTAATAGTTCTATCTTTATTTTTCTTTCTTCATGTGTCTAAGCTTCCATAACTATGTATTAGTATTGATCCCTGGCCTGAAATTATATTTGAGGAAATTTTCTGTTTGGCTGGTTCCTGCTATTCTGTCCCTATTGCACATGCTTTAGTTCGAATGACACGCTTCTGCCTAGGTGATTTTTCCTTGATTTAATCTTGATTCTATAGCTATTTCCTTCACAGGACAGGAATTCTTTCTTTATCTAATCAGTCCTGATGAACCGATACTGAAAGAAAAACCTGGTTCCAATTAGTTATTAAAAAAAACACCTTTCAGATGCTGGCTGCATGTATAGATATAGTTTCATCTATGGCTCAGCCCTATGTATGCATTTTAGTAATGTTAAGATGTGCTGCCTAATACTTAGCTGGATATTAATTGGAACAAATCTGTTTTGTTTTCTCCCACCTCTTAGAAAGCTATTGCAGCGTATGGTACTGGACAGTTTCTTTGAACCTGTTATTTCTCAGATTCATTTTCAGTCCAAGATCCTCACGGCTGTCCTTAACTCCTATTCCAGCGTCAATAATAAAACAAATTGAACAGAACCTCATTGCAACACTTAGTTAATATATTGGTCTATGTATTTAAAACCACTTGCCAACTACTAATGCATCCATGGCTTATGATAAATACAAACCATACAATATTATGATCTTAACAGTAATGATTTCATAATACAATCCAACTACCATCCCAGTCTCATTGACTGCTTTTCCTACATTCCTGCCAGACTCTACTTGATCCCCTCTGAGGAAACCCTTGTTCTCTGTTTCAAAAATATTCTTCTCAGCTTCTTTCACCTCTCTCTCTCTTTACTTGTTGTAATAACATAACTTTTATAGTCTCTTCTTGAAGCTCTTCCATTCCTGTAGTTACCAACACTCCCTTTTCTGCACTCTCACTAGACTCCTTTCTGGAAAATATATTATGGGAAATGATATAAGTGTGTCCTATGGTTACTAGTGGAATATTTTCATTCCAGGCTGTCTAAGTTATATTGAAATGTTTTTCTCATGCCTTATCTTTTTGGCTGTGACAGGTAAAACTAAGTTTGGCTGTGAGCAACAAACAAAAAATAACTGTTTCTTCAATAAGACAGAAGTTAACTTGTCACTCTCGTACAAGTCCAGGAGTCAGTGGCATTGAGGAGGTAATGTTCCTCAATAGCAAGACTCTGGACCCTTCCTGAAAGGCTTTTCTAGGGCTGGCGTCTATTCTCAAGGTGAAGATTCTCAAGGTCATTCACCATGGCAGCTCCAATTCCAACTAGTAAGCCTGCAATCAGTCCGGCAGGAAAGAAAAAAGGGATGGTGACTTTGAAGGGCTTTCATACTTGAAGGATATTTCCTAGAAGTTGAAAATATTATTTGCATACTTCCCCTGACCAGAAAACTAAGTTATATTATTACTATAATAAAGATCATGCCTTTGTTTTTGTTGTTGCTGTTGTTGTTTGACCGCTGACAGTTTTTAAGCCTCACCCCTCTCTCTGTTTTCCCCTGGATAAGACGGAAAGAAAGCCTGGCTGCTCTCCCCTTTGGATCCAGTGGGAGGTTCAAAGGATAAAAGCCTCTGCCCACGCACAGGAAACCTACACCATAGAAACCCCAAGCAAGTCTGCGTACTGATCTCTCAAATGATTTTCTGACCTGTTCAGGAGCCACACTGCCCTGTCCAGAAAGCCTTATTATGTGAGTAACATCTTCTCACACACTATTGGAGTGTGTGTATGTGTGTGTGTGTGATCATCAGTTTCAACATATGAACCAAATTTTGGATGGGCTTTCATCCTGTTTCTGCTACTACCCAGAACGAAATACTAGAAAATGTAAGCTTTCCTCTAGTATTTCTTAGGTCCAGTTCAAATCTGGTGGTTCTATTACCAAAGAAAAAGTCATTAGTGGTAACTGGCAGTGAATTTTGCAAATCTTTACATTGTATGTAATAATGATGTTCTGCATTGAGTTGATTTTGAGTACATTTCCATTATTATTATTGTATTTCTGTATGTATTTTAATAATAGCTTTGGTATACACTATCTTCTTTTGTGCTTAAGCAAAACGATGTTACCAATAACACCATTTTCACACACACGTGTGCATGGACACACACACATGCTGAACAGTGTTCAAAATGCCTTTTGAGGTAAAACTAGCACAGACAGGCAGGAATGATTCACATGATGAGATAGGCCCATTCTGAGAGGAAGAGCTAATTCCAGGAATCATTACACTAACTCATTATTTGATTACATCAATACACCTTTTCAGATTTTATAACTAAATGCAAATTATAATAAATGTTTGTGTTGAAAATATAGTTATAGTTTGTGTAGAAAAATATAGTTATTCAAGTTTTTATATTTACTGGCTTTAAGACTATTCTTAATCTACTATTTGCTTAGCCTTTGAACTGTGTTATTACCATTTAATTTATATATTTGTCATCATATTCTTCTACTCTTTCTGACATCTGGGAGTCTTCATTATACACAGTAGGAGCTGAGGAAGTGAAAATTTGAAATAACTTACTTCACTAATTCTAAGCTCACTTTTTAAAAATGTTGACATATCTTAAACTCGGTTGTTTCCTAAAAGCAATAGCATATAATTATTCAATTTGTAGTGTTTATTTTCTCTCACTGATAGATAAAATAACAAGGCGTGGTAATTCTAGATATATATTTTGACTTCTTGAGATAATTCTATTCTTGAACAATTATCAATAGCCCTAAGACACTGAAAGTTTAGAGATAATATGCTTTGTGCTATGATAATTTTTCATTGTATAAAGAGAATCTGAAATCAAAGTTTCCTTGTACCCGTAACCCATCTCATTTCAATTGTTTGTTTAGTGGTTCACAGCCCAAAGACAAAATATGTATGATAAAATTACTATAGTTGACATCTTATAAGAATTGTTTTCTAATTTATTCTCAAGTAAAAACACTACATGTTGACACCTATGTCTGAGAAAAAAATCATTGGTACCTCTCAAATGAGTGACTAAAGATAAATTTTCAACTTCAGTAAGCATGAGAAGTAAAATCAAGTTCCATTCATTGGTTTTTTGACCTTGAAGAAATAGTTTAAGACTTACAATTATAAAGGGTTTATTTTAGGGTTACATATTAGGTCAGGCTGTGTGCCCAAGAGCCCATTGCTAGATATGAATAAGAAGCTCTAAATATATGCACCAAAGAACTTCCCTTGTAATAGATCCTGGGGTGGGAAATCAAGATCTTCTTTAGTGGTTCCACCATGTGTTCAATTCCCACATTTCATATTTTTTCTGCTCCCTCATACCTATCCATGGTTCTGCTGCTGTCTTCAGACTTGTTATTTTATAGTTGCATGAAGATGTGTGATTGCATTAGACTACATTGTAATCTTGGTGAATAGATTTTCCCTACCATCTTACCATAGTATATAAATAAGGCATTATTTTTTTTTAAAAATAAGAAATAATAATAAGAAATCTTCCAAGAGTTATTAATTTGATGCTGATATGGATGGCTTGTGTGGACATCATGGAATATGCAGGTATGCTGGTCTGATTTAAGAAGAAATTATAAAGAGTACCCACTCCCATACTGCTATGATTATTGGAATTCAGGTGTGAGGTAACAATACATTATATACTTAAAAATATAGAAGTAGGTACTTAGAATACTTATGATATTTGAACAAATATTACATAAAATCAGTTTTAAAATACAGCTTACAAAAATAGAATTTTACAAAAATAGAATTTTACAAAAAGGTGAAAAGAAAGAAAACTAGAAAAAGTACAGTACTAGAAGAAAGCATGAGGGACAGAGGGAGAAAAGAGAAATGAGTAAAGAGGAAGGGAGAAAAAGAAACCCCAAACTGGTAATAAATTCTGTAACAGTAAAAGTTTCCATAAAATGAGGAAGAATTAAAGATAATAATGAAGTTAATGTCTAGGAAATGTATTCTATTAAAAATAGTTTACAAGTATTTCTGATTAAAATTTAATAAATGCAAAAGCCAATCAGATGAACCATGCCTAGGATCATAATGTTTTAAAAAATCTGTATTTCTATAAACATACTAAATCTAAGTAAACTGCATGTTAAAAGAATAGTGAGTGTCTACTTGGAGTTTAGGAAAAAAGATGATCTAAGGAAAAAACAGTTGGTCTTCTGTCCCCAGCCTTCTTCCTGATAAATAATGTGCTGAGAAGATTGAAAATGTGTCCCAGTCACCTAGAAAGTTTTATTTCTTATTAAAAATTAATAAATTGAAATATTGATGTATATCTGATATACAAAACAATCATGTATTATAAATTAATGTATTAAAAGTATCCCATTTGGATGATTATTTGTTAGCTATGAAAACCATTTTTGAAAAAGAAGGCCAGGTGTTATAAAACTTTTCAGCCATCATCGTGGAATTTTGTTTGAAGTTTTTAAAAATAAGCTGTGTCTTATGTCTTCTGTACTCTAAGAAATGAATCTACACTTGTATAGAAGTGCTGCACTGAATAACTGTTCTTCCTCTCTTTCAACACTGAGAGTGTCTTATACACTGAAAATGGAACCATGTTTCCACTATAAACAACTATTAGAGAGAAAATGTTATAGAAAGATTGAAACAATAGTGGCCAGGCGCGGTGGCTCACGTCTGTAATCTCAGCACTTTGAGAGGCTGAGGCAGGTGGATCACGAGGTCAGGAGATCGAGACCATCCTGGCTAACACGGTGAAACCCCATGTCTACTAAAAATACAAAAAATTAGCCGGGCATGGTGGCGGGTGCCTGTAGTCTCAGCTACTCGGGAGGCTGAGGCAGGAGAATGACGTGAACCTGGGAGGTACAGCTCACAGTAAGCCGAGATCACGCCACTGCACTCCAGCCTGGGAGACAGAGGGACACTCCGTCTAAAAAAAAAAAAAAAAAAAAAAAAAGAATGGAAACAATAGTAAAAGAAGCCAGAATTCAGAAATGCTGTTTAAAAAAATTCGCTGTCATTGCAATACACCAGCATACTTCCAAGATCTTACAGGTTCAGTTCCAGACCACCGTAGTAAAGCAAGTATCACAATAAAGCAAGTCACTTGCACTTTTTGGTTTCCTAATGCTTATAAAAGTTATGTTTCCACTATACTGTAGTCTAGTAAGTGTGCATTAAGTAGCAGTATGCAATATGTACATTTTTCCTTCCTTCCTTCCTTCCTTCCTTCCTTCCTTCCTTCATTCCTTCCTTCCCTCCCTCCCTCCCTCCCTTCTTCCTTCCTTCCTTCCTTCCTTCCTTCCTTCCTTCCTTCCTTCCTTCCTTCTTTTTTTGAGATGCAGTCCTACTCTGACATCCAGGCTGGAGTGCAGTTAGCGATCTTGGCTTACCGCAACTTCTGCCTCCTGGGTTCAAGTGATTTTTCGTACCTCAGCCTCCCAAGTAGCTGGGATTACAGGTGCCCACCACCATGCCCGAGTAATTTTTGTATTTTTAGGAGAGACGGGGTTTCACCATGTTGACCAGGCTGTCTCAAACTCCTGACCTCAAGTGATCCACCTGCCTTGGCCTCCCAAAGTGCTGGAATTAAAGGCTAAGCCACAGCGCCCAGCCACATATCTTAATTTTAAAATATTGCTTAAAAAAAGCCAATAATTATCTTAACCTTCAAGGAGTTGTAATCTTTTTGCTGTTGGAGGTTCTTGCCTCCATGCTGATTGATGGCTGTTGACTGATCCAGGTGGTGGTTGCTGAAGGTTGGAGTAACTGCAGCAATTTCTTAAAATAAGACAACAATGAAGTTTGCTGCATGGATTGACTCTACCTTTTATGAAAGATTTCTCTATAGCATGCGATGCTGTTTGATAGCATTTTGCTCACAGTAGAACTTCTTTCAAAACTGAAGTCAACCCTCTCAAACCCTGCCACTGCTTTATCAATGAAGTTTATATAATGTTTAAATCCTTTGTTAATATTTCAACAATATTCACATCTTCACCAGGAAAGGAGTCCATCTCAAGAAAACACTTTCTTTGCGCATCCATAAGAAGTAACTCCTCACCTATTGAAGTTCTATCATGAGAATGCAGCAATTCAGTCACACCTTTGGGCTTCTCTTTTAATTCTAGTTTTCTTGCTATTTCCCCACATCTTTAGCGACTTTCTCCACTGAAGCCTTAAAACCTTCAAAGTTATCAATGAGTGTTGGAATAAATATCTTCAGAATTCTGTAATGGTAATATTTTGACCTCATCCTACGAATTAGGAATGTTCTTAATGGCATCTAGAATGGCGAATCCTTTCCAGATAGTTTTTAACTTGTTTTGCTCAAATCCATAAGAGGAATCCCTGTGTATGACACCTGTAGCCTTACAAAATGTATTTCTTAAATAATCAGACTCAAAAGTCAAATTTACTTCTTGATCTATGGGCTAAAGTATGAATGTTGTGGCAACAGGCATGAAAACATTAATATCCTTGTATATCTGTACCAGACCTCTTGGGAATCTAGGTGCATTGTCATTGAGCAGTAATAATTTGAAATAAAATGTTTTTTCTTAGCAGTAGATTTGGATCATGGGCTTAAAATATTTAGTAAACCATATTTTAAGCAGATGAGCTGTCATACCATCTTCGTTATTCCATTTATAGAGCACAGGCAGAGGAGATTTAGCATAAGGTTTAAGGGTTCTAAAATTTTTTGAATGGTGAATGAGCATTGGCTTCAACTTAAAGTCACCAGCTGCATTAGCCTCTAACAAGAGAGTCAGCCTGTCCTTTGAAGCGTTGAAGACAGGCTTTGACCTCTCTATTTATGAAAGTCCTAGATGGCATCTTCTTTCATTAGAAGGCTGTTTCACCTAATTGAAAATATGTTGTTTAGTGTAGCCACCTTAATCAATTATCTTAGCTTAATCTTCTGGATAACACAGTTTCTACATCAGCACTTGATGCTTCACATTTTATATTATGGAGATGACTTCTTTCTTTAAACCTTATGAAGCAATCTCTGCTAGCTTTAAACTTTTCTTTTGTAGCTTCCTTACCTCTTTTAGCCTTTACAGAATTGAAGAAAGTTAGGGTCTTGCTCTGGATCAGGCTCTGGCTTAAGGCAGTGTTGTAGCTGTTTTGATCTTCTATCCAGACAACACAGACTTTCTCCATACTAGCAATAAGGCTGTTTCCCTTTATGCTTCTGCTGTGTTCACTGGAGCAGCATTTTTAATTTCCTTCAAGGTTTTTTTTTTCTTTTCTTTCTTTATTTCTTCTTTCTTTTTTTGGTTTTTGTTTTGTTTTGTTTTGTTTTGTTTTGCATTCACAACTTGGCTCTGTTTGACACAAGTAGTCTAGCTTTTGGCTTATCTTGTGCCTTCCTTGCTAAACTTAATTATTTCTACCTTTTGGCTTAACGTGAGAGACATGTGAATCTTCTTTTATCCTGAATACTTGGAGACCTCTGTAGGGTTATTAACTGACCTAATTTCAATACTTTTGCATCTCATGGAATACAGAGGCCAGAAGAAGAAAGGGAGAGAGAGGAGAGAACAACCTGTCGGTGGAGCAGTCAGCATATACACTTTTATCGATTAATTTTGCCATTTTATAAGGGTGTTTTTCCTGGTGTCCCAAAACATTTGCAATGGTAACAGCGAAGATCACTGATCACAGATCACCATAATAGATATAGCAGTAATGAAAAACTGTGAACTATTGCAAGACTTACCAAAACGTGACACGGATACAAAGTTAGCACATGCTGTTGGGAAAATTGTGCCAATAGACTTGCTGGTGATGTAGGGTTTCCACAAACCTTCAATTTATTAAAAAAAACTCAATATCTGTGAAATGCAACAAAGTCAACCACAATAAAGTAAGATATGCCTGTAATGTAGACATATGTGTAAAATGATGGTGTATCACCATGGAATACTATGCAGCCATAAAAAAATGATGAGTTCATGTCCTTTGTAGGGACATGGATGGAATTGGAGATCATCATTCTCAGTAAACTATCGCAAGAACAAAAAACCAAACACCGCATATTCTCACTCATAGGTGGGAATTGAACAATGAGAACACATGGACACAGGAAGGGGAACATCACACTCTGGGGACTGTTGTGGGGTGGGGGGAGGGGGGAGGGATAGCATTGGGAGATATACCTAATGCTAGATGACGAGTTAGTGGGTGCAGCGCACCAGCATGGCACATGTATACATATGTAACTAACCTGCACATTGTGCACATGTACCCTAAATCTTAAAGTATAATAATAATAAATTAAAAAAAAAGAAAAGCAAAAAAAAGATGGTATACCTAATAGCAGTTGTGAAATAAGTATAAAGGAATATCCTTATGCCATAAAACTGACTTTGATGACAGATTTATAGTGGCAGAAAAATCACAATTATCTAATGGATTGGTTTCCAATGTCAATATTACATTAAAAATGAACTTCACAGTGAGATATTTAAAGCTATCCTTGAAGATACTCTGCAATTAATGGAGAATGCCCTCCCAACCTTTTTTTCTTAAGTGGCAAATGTTGACAAAAAAATTGATGTATTTTATCTTTCATTCTAGAATGGAACATTTTTTAAAAAGCTGATTTCTTTAAAAGGTTATTTCTCCCTTACTCTCCCAATCCCACTCCCAAATGATGGACACTCAGCCCCAGCATTGGAAAACTCTCCTATTGACTAGCTTAATTCCCTCTCTAGACCTCATTTTCTTATCTATGTAAAATGGACATTAACGCTTAGCTCATATTGCTGTGTGAGAATTCAATTAAATGTGTTAATACAATTTAAAAGATTAGCAGAGTACCTGAAAAACAAGAATGTGCTTGATAAATGATGACTATTAATACATTTATTTATTTTTATTTCAATTTTGTTATTTGGAGTACAAATCTCTTCCAAAGACCATAGAAACTCCCCTGGAAAACAATTTTATCACTCATCATTTTAATTTCAGAAATATTTGCCAATATTAGAATAAATAGTTTTCATCATATAGACATATCGATACTGGTGTATTACTTTTCCATTTCTGGTGCAACAAATTCTCACAGATTTGGTGACTTAAGACAAACTAATTCTCTTACATCTCTAGAGATCAAGATCTAAAATCAAGGTATCAACTGAGTTGCGTTCCTCTGGAGGTTATGAGGAGAAAAGCCATTCCCTGGTCTTTTCAGCTCCTAGTGGCCACCTGCATTCCCTGTTCATGGCCCCTTTCTTGTATCACTCCAATCTTTTGTTTCCATCATTCCATCTCCTATTCCTGACCTTGATCTTCCTGCCTCCTACACTACAAAGACCCCAGTGACTATGTCAGTCCCACCCAGCCAATCCAGGGTAATGCCCCAAATCAAATGATTGAATTAGTCAAATCTGTGAAGTCCCTTTCATTATGTCAAGTAACATATTCATGGGTCCTGGGGATTAGGACATGAACATCATTAGGAAGCCCTCATTCAACACAGCACAATTAGTATCCTTTATTGTCTCATTCTACAGGAGTTCCACTGTGGTGCTAGTACAAATTATTTTAAGTATCCTTTCTTTCTTTCTTCCTTTCTTTCTTTCTTTCTTTCTTTCTTTCTTTCTTTCTTTCTTTCTCCCTTTCTTTCTTTCTTTCTCTTTCTTTCTTTCTCTTTCCTTCCTTCCTTCCTTCCTTCCTTTCTTTCTTTATTTCTTTATTTCTTTCCTTCTTTTTCTTTCCTTCTCTCTTTCTTTCCTCTTTTTGGGTCTCACTCTGTCACCCAGACTGGAGTGCAATGGTGTGATCACAGCTTATTTCAGCCTCCAATTGCTGGGTTCAAGCCATCTTCCCACTTCAGTTGCCTAAGTGGTTGGGACTACAGGTGGGCACCACCACACCTAGCTGTTTTGTTTGTTTGTTTTGTAGAAAGGAAGTCTTGATATATTGTGCAGGCTGGTCTTGAACTCCTGGACTCAAGGGATCTTCCTGCCTTAGCCTCCCAAGGTTTTGGGATTCCAGGCATGAGCCACTGCACGGCATCTATTTCTATCATTTCTATCACATGCTACAGCTTGGCATAGGCTGTACAGAGCAGTACTTATTCTCCACTTTCCTAACTTGGTTGAATTTTAATCACAAATGGGACATGCAAGCATAAATATTACTCACCCTACTCCTATTTCTGTAAAGTTAACTCTTCCTGATATGTTGTTCTCAAGATAAATAATTGGGGTCATATAAAAGCTGTTCTTTAAGTAAAAAATGTAAAGAAAACCACTTATCATTTTCATAGATAACATAAAATCTATTTTACAATTAATCTCATCATTGGGTGTATCAACATTTCTTTTTAAAATTTCAATTTCCCATGTGAGTGAATTTCCCATCCATCTGTCTTTTCCCATTGAGGTCCTGGTATTTTATACAGTAAAAGGACTTAATGGATTATCAAGGAAAATGAGCTTGCCAGCCCACATAATTTTTAAAAAATATATTTATGTAGTTTTTATTATAAACTCAAACAGAAAAGTATCTTTAATGCTGTAATTAACTGTCTTTTACCTCTGGGCCTTTTTTGTAATTGTAGTTCTATTCTTCTTTAATAGAAACTTTTTAATCTTATTGTCATACTATGTTTTAGTCTTAATATTATTTTACTATGTATTCTTTGGTTTTTCTTCTTCTTTTCTTTTCTTTTTTAACCGGAAAGCTAAGGCAAGAATATGAACCGGTAAAAGAGGAGGTGAACTTTTTTTATATGAATGAATCCCAAGAACAGAGAGCTCAACAAACACTTGAAGATTTATGGAATGTGTTTTCCTACCTGACAAACTGTATTAGTCAGGTTTCTCCAGAGAAACGGAACATATATATGGATGGAGAGAGAGAGAGAGATTTATTATGAGAGGAGGTATAAGTCCCAGAGCCTGAAGGCCCGAGAGCCGAGATTTCAGATGTCCAAGGCCAGAAGATGGATACTCCAGCTTCAGATGAGAGAAAATTCACCCTCCTTCCGCCTTTTTGTTCTATTCAGATCTTCGATAGATTGGATGAAGCCCACTTACATTGACGAGGTCAGATCTTGTTTACTAAATTTACTGAGTCAAATATTAATCTCTTCAAAAAAAACCTTCACAGACACACCCAGAACAAATATTTTACCACCTATCTAGCAACCTCTTAGCCGATGGAAGGTGATGCATGAAATTAACCATCATACATTACTGTCACATTCTGAGTGATAAGTTTGTCAGCAAAAAGGCAATAGATGAATAAGGTTTCTAGTCTCCCATTAACACCCATTTCTTTCTTTCTTTCTTTCTTTGTTTTTTTTTTTTTTTGAGTTGGAGCCTCACTGTGTTGCCCGGACTAAAATGCAATGGTGCAATCTCTGCTCACAGCAAATTTTGCCTCCCAGGTTCAAGCAACTCTTCTGCCTCAGCCTCCCAAGTAGGTGGGATTACAGGTGCCTACTGCCATACCCAGCTAATTTTTGCATTTTTAGTAGAGACGGGTTTTCAAAAGTTGGTCAGGCTTGTCTCAAACTCCTGACCTCAGGTGATCTACCCACCTCAGCCTCCCAAAGTATTGGAATTACAGGCGTGAGTCACCGCGCCCGGCCAACACCCATTTCATATCTTTTTGTTTTCTTAGTGATTAAAAACCGATATATTTAAAATAATGTGGATTGGTGAAAACCCATATTTGCGCAGAATACTCCAGCTGATTAAAATGAATTGTTTGCCATAGCACAGTGTGGACCAACCAAAATGGAACATTATGTGGCCCTTTAAGCACTTGCAGTATTTATTATTTATGCTCATAGTGGAATCCTTTTGCTTAACATCCCAAAAGTAACATTTTACTGATTTTAAATACAGAACTTAATTCCATATTTGCTATCAATCCATAAGATCCAATATTTTAAATGGTTAAGATAGTTTTGGAAAACAATCCTTTCATTCTGTTGCTAAAATGCAATACAGTTACTATGAAATGACAAAATTTGTTTTCCATCGGCTAGTGATAAACGGGTACTCTAAAAATAAGATTAAATGAAAAATATTATTGTGTGTTTAAATAGATCTTATTTTTTCCTTTATCATTTCAAGAATTATTATATTGTTTTTTAAATAATACAAATATTATATTTTAAATATTATCATCCTTGTTTTCCAAATAAGAAAAGCAAGTCTCAAAAAAGTTGTGAAATTAACCCAGAGTCCTATATCTGGTACCTGGTGGTGATCAGCTTTGATTGTGGTTGTCCTGACTCCAGACACAGATTTTTTTTAACTAGCACATTATGGCCCCATTTTCATTACTCTCCCTATCCGTTTCTTTCTCACTTTAAAGTAATTTTATGCTTCTATTCATTGTTAATGTTAACAATTTTGAAGACATGCTATGTACAAATTAGGGTCCTATGTTTTAATTTATTAAAATTTTACCCAAGGATTTTCAAGGACACAGACAGGCTTATAGGCAGTATCCTGCCAGGGAGGGTTTATGATCCGTGCTTTGTCTGTTTCCAAGGCTGACTTCCCTTGGGTTCTTTTACAAACTTATTTATTTAGACTTCCCATATGCTTCCACATTTAACATGAGCATGTGATTTCACAGCCACGGACCTAAGGCTCTACATGTTGGGAGGTTAAGGAAGCAGAAATTTGGGGTCATGGGAGAAAATTAGAAGCATAAAAAAAAGTCCTTGTTAATGTTAAACTTTTGAGAAAAGCTTGTTGACTACTCAGAGGTTTTCCACCCCCACACGGGCAAGTGCCGGCAGAATAGAGTCCTAGAGAAAAGGAGGATCAGGAGAAGAAAAGAGACTAGTGAAAATTCTGGCCATGAAAATAGTTGCGAATAGTGAGAAGTGGACACAGGAGCCCTGAAACATTGCTGAAATCATCAGAAACAAAACAAAACAATAGCAACACCAAATAAATTGTGATCATTTTTCCACCAGGCCTGTGAAGGAGACACTCCATCTCAAGTTTAACTCAGATACACCTAAAATTTAGTAATTTGGAAGGTAATTAAATATGAGCTTCCAAAAAATACTTTGTTTGTTTTGGAGTAAAATAAAGACATTAACAAATTTATGAAGCCTAGTTTGGTAGCAGAGGGGTTGGAGGAGGTAAGGAGTAGAGAATAACTTTAAATAAAGCAAATGAAAAGGGTAATGTGTGTAAGATCACTTTGTAATCTTTAAAATATTTTATACAAACACACACATGATCGTTGAAAAAAATCCACAAATAGGGAACTTTAATTATTTAAACCTAGCTTTGAGTGTATAGCCTATTGTGAAAAGCAGTTGTTGTCAATTTAACATCCCTGATGGTTTGTTCTTGAAAAAGTCTTTCTGTGAAACTATTGCATAGGAAAATGCCATTTATTGAAATTCAATCACTATGCAAGTCACTCATTTTTGAAAAATTTGGGAGTATTTTATTTAAGAACAAGCATAAATTACTATGGAAATCTACTGTAAAATTGTGTATTTTAATGAAGAAAAATATGGGATTATACCTGCATTTCTGAATTATCTGATAATTTTCTCCCATACGCAGATATTTATCCATCTCACCATGAGTCATTTTATAATTATGAGTTTGTGAAAGCAAATTCATTCACAGTTACACAAATTAATTATTTTCTGTATTAATAAAATGAAATTTCCTGTTTTCACCCACCTTTCTCATTTATTTATTTTATCCATGAAAGTTAACTTAATTACTGGTCAATTTGATGGTATGATATAATTTAGAAAATAAACTGAAATGCCTATTTACTGTGGTATGCAGAATTCTAAAGGCGTCTACTTTCCCCCAGTGTTCTCATGCCCTGCTCAGTCAAGCACATATTACTGTGAAGAGATTTTGCAAATGTGATGAAAGTCATAAATCAGTTGATCCTAAGATACAGAGATTTTTCAGTGATGCCTGATCCAATGAGGTGAAAGCTTTAAAAGCATAAAGTTTTCCCTGGTGGAAGAGGAAGTAAGAGATTGAAAGCATGCCCTCAATGTGCAGCTTCTGGCTTTGGAAAGGGAGGTGGCCCGGTATCAAGGAATGCAGGTGGCCTTTATGGCCTTTAGAAACTACCCTTGGCAGACTACTGACAAGGAAATAGGGGCTTCAATCCTATAGCTGCGAGGAACTGAATGGAGTTTGGCCAAGTACCTGAATAAATTTGCTTATGGATTCTTCTTCACAGCCTCCAGATAGAGTCCAGCTTGGAAGACACCTTGATTTTGGCCTTGTGAAGCCTTAAGCAGAGCACCTTGCTCAAATTCTAACTTACAGAACTCTGCAAGCTAATAGATAAGTATTGTCTTAATGCTATTAAGTTTGTGGTAATTTGTTACACAGCAAAAGTAAAGTGTAACTTACTATTACTACTGTCAATTTACTATCAACTTAATAAAGTTAACAGTAAATAATAACTTTATTACGTGCCAGCTACATTATAATACAAATGACAGTGTATCTTATCATTTTCAGAGTTTTGTCTGCTTGGTAAGGTAGGACGTCGTTTGTCCAATTTACTAATGAGGCACAGGGGAAGTGCCTTGCCCAACAACTTGTGGGTGAAGCCAAGATGACAATTCAGATTTCCTGACTTTTATTTGAGACCTTTTGGTTAACTTAAGCATTTTACTTTTTGTTGTAAAAAGTACAGTAGCTCCTACATATCCATGGTTTTGCTTTCCACATTTCAGTTACTAGAGGTAAACCGTGTTCCAAAAATATTACATGCAATAAGATATGTTGTGCATGCACACATGAGGGGAGAGAGAGAGAGAGAGAGAGAGAGAGACCACATTCAATTAACTTCTATTAAAGTTTACAGTTGAGCCTTGAACAATGCTGGTTTGAACACAGCTCCATTTACACACAGTTTTTGCTCTATCTCTGCCACCCTTGAAACAGCAAGACCAACTCGTCTTTTTCCTCCCCCTCCTCAGCCTACTCAACATGAAAATGCCGAGGATGAAGACCTTTACGATGATCCACTTCCACTTAAAGAAGAGTAAATATATCTTTTCTTCCTTATATTCTTAATAACATTTTATTCTGTAGCTTAATTTATTGTTAGAATTCAGTATATAATAAATAACTTACAAAATATGTGTATATAGACGGTTTATGTTATCAGTAAGGCTTCTGGTCAACAGCAGGCTACTAGGAGTTAAGTGTTTGGGGAGTCGAAAGTTGTACACAGATTTTTTTATTACGTGAGGGATTGGCCCCCCCCATTATTCTTTAGTCAAGGATCAACTGTATTTTTATAACTGTTCTTTTTTATTATTTGTTATGGTGTTCAGTCTTTTACTCTGCCTGATTTCTAAAGTAAACTTTATCATAGGATGAAACATAGTATATATAGGATTTAGCACTATCTGTGATTTCAAGCATCCACTGGGGATCTTAGAAAGTATTTCCCATAGAGAAGGGGATTACTGAATACACATCATATTTATCACTTTTGGTGTTTTTTACTTTCTGCTTTATTGAATCTTTTCCATCACATAATGATACCTAGGGCAGATGACAAACCTTTACTTTATTTAATTAACTAATTAACATTAGTCTTTTTTTGTATACAACTTGAATGTTATATCCAGATCAAAGCTACTGCCCTCACACAAACAAGGCTGGACCTGCAGCTGAGGAGGTGCAATGTAAATGGAGCTAGCAGAGGGTGTGGCTTGCCCTAGTACTCCTTCCCTTTTCCCTCTGCTTGACTTTGAATCCTGTAGTGTTGGGAGTGTGTTAAAGAAATGGTTAGGAAAAAGAAAGAGACTTTCCTTTTCCTTTTATATTTGGTAAAGGTGGGGTCTTGATATGTTGCCCAGGCTGGTCTAGAACTCCAAGCCTAAAGTGATTCTCCTATCTTGGCCTCTCAAAGCACTGTGATTACAGGTGTGAGCCACCACATCTGGCCCAACAAGCCTGTTTCTCGACTATTGCATTCCTCATTTTGTCAATTTTTAATGATATTTTAGCCAATAACAACTTTCCATTAATAACCTCCAAGGGAGGATGTCCAGAAAGCAGAGCAGTGTAGCCTGGGTTCTTTGGTGAGGAATTACCTGGCTAGACCTTTTAAGTCCTTCTTTGTACCCCTGTCAAGACTTTCATTTGTGCTGCCAGGCCCTTGTGTGGAGCCTCTTTTCTGGGATGTAGTATTGGTGGGGTTTCTCCAGGTAGCTTCTTTCTACAGGGTCCATGGGAAGCTAACATATCCTTGCCATGCTCAAAATGAGAACTGCAGACACATGCCATTGCCCATGCTTGTCCTTGCCTTCTGTCTCTAATTGTCTTCTCCCTGTTGAGGGCGGCACTGGGGATGATCGGCAAGTCTTTTGCTTAAGGTGACATTCCAGGAGGCCATGCAAGGTTATCCACTGCTTCCTGTAATCATCCACCCATGGGTGATACTCTGGTCATTCTCACATTTGTTCCTCAACATTCACACTGCATTCCCCACACAGCCTGGGTCACTGATGACTCTAAGGAACCCTCCTCCCTCTCTTCTTTCCACTTTTTTTAAGTAGATTGAAGGAGGTGGCTGGTAATAGGAGCATTTCCACCATATCTTGACAAGGCAGTGTCCTGCACCAATTATTGATTGCTTGCCTTAGAATGCGGAGCATGCGATGCTAATGGTTTTCAACTGAGTGTACCAACCCTCAACCTGGGACCAAAGGGAGGGTCACACTAGGTATTTATTGCACTATTCTGAAACATTCAGTTGTAGCTCAGCCTACAGAAACAAAAAAAGGGAGAAGTGATTTGCCCAAATGTCACATCAGAGTCTGGATCTAAACAGTTCCCTTTGTTTATAATTCCTCTTCTGTCTGTCATAATTAATAAGATGGTATCCAAAAAAATTAATGTGATTGTAGTAAGATCTACATTTCAGTTGCCATCTGTGAGTTCTATGTTATCTGAGATCTTTGGAAATTCATTTTGACCTAAGTATTTGAATAAACAATAAAATTTTGGAATCAGAGTAGAGCAACCTTTAGAGATAAAGAGGTAGCTGTGTTTAGTGTGGCTAGTTTGAAGTTATTCTGGTTTGTTGAAAAAAATATGAACTGATGACGTCATTATAACCTTGAACTTTTTGCAATAATTCCCAAATTGTATAAAAATGCAGATACAGTTGCACTCAAGTGTTTGCCATTCAAAGGATACAAATTTGTAGAAAGCTGGCAAAGGACTGGGATGGGAAGGACGCTTGTGGCTTGTGGCAAGGCAGTTCTAGATTGATTGTGAGATATGAAACCTAACAGAAAATAAGGGGGGTTGCAGGAATTGCCAGCCAAACTGAAGTCAGGCTGATGTCCCAGGGTCTGTTAGAGTAGAAGAGGAAAGGTCAAGACTGCTGATAGAATCTAAGATATCCTGAAGCAAAGAGTTATTGTTCAAGATGGCAGATAAATTAGAGGCCCTTTCTGGTTGGGATGTAGTGGACAGCGAAAGTGCCTGGGAAGTATATTATTATTACATTTTATTTATTGAGTGCTGTCCTGGCATTGGATTCTGGATTATGCTAAACAGGATGGATAAAACACACTTATAATCCAACGCACTAACATTTAGTTGCACAGACCAGGTAATGGGGAAAAGAGATACACTGATGAAATGAAAAATGGGTTCATTATTTTTCCCCACTTTAAACACTGTTTCTCTCAAAAGAAATCTTCAACTGAGAGGAATTGATTTATTAATTCAATAAAAATCTGTTGATTTTATGTGATTTCACTATGTGCCTAACACTGTACTAGACACGTGGGGTAAACAGAAATAATAAACCATAATCATATCCTTATAGAAATGACTATTTAGAGAAGGAAAGGGGTAAGAATAACAGAAAATAGATCACTCTGCAATAATAGTCAGCAGTAAATATCCATTGCTCTGTTGTCTAGAACACTTTCCTTCTTATGAGAACAATGTGTCCTACTGATAAGGACTCTTTGCCTTGACCTTTCTCTAACCATGATTACTGTGTCTCAGTTACATTACCGGGCTCAAGTCCAAGCCTGACCCCTCAGAGTCCCTCACCAAGACTTTTCTCATTGCAGCCAAGGAAGACACTCAACACCTCAAGGTGGCAAAAGTAAAGTTATGAAGAGTTAAATATTTCCTCATATGGAAGAAGCCACACTCCTGTAGGAGATTGTGGAGCCATGAGTTGGAGAGACACTGGGAATACTGATGAAGAATAAGCAGCACTGGTTTTATTTTCTCCATTGCCAAGACATGTTTCTACATGTCTACACCTGCTTTGGTATTTTCTGAGACATGTTTCTACATGTCTACACCTGCTTTGGTATTTTTCGAGACAATATTTTTAAAAATTGTGTCTAAAATAATTCTGGTTTTGTTTTCTAGCCAACTGCACCAAGAAAGACCTGACTGTTTCTACCCAGTCATTATTTGGACAAGCATTGCCAAAACTTTAATATGTGGCAAATGGGTAATAAGACAGTAAAAGATAACTGTGGCTCACAGTTCAGCACTTCTAATCAGGATTCATCAATAGTGACCCCGACTACAATTTTTTGTTCTGTCCCCCCTGTATAGTTGCTAAAAGGGCTTTGGGAGTTTGATATAGCAGAAAAACAATAATTTTTCAAGCAAATGCAGTGACAATGAGAATTAAGATGAGAAGAAGAGAATTTTCATATACCCCTCAAATGATTCAAAGAAGGAAAAGGCAGAGAAAAAAAGAGTAAATAGTGGAATTAAGATTTTAAAATATGTAAAAAAATAACAATCGGAAATAACAAGAAAAGGAAATTAGGTGTAAAAGGTGAAGTCCAAGAAGTGAGAAAGAAAGTAAGGGAATCATCTTGCTTAGTGGTAGTCCCCTACCTCCCATCAAATATGACCAATGGTAGATATGAACAAGTGACAAAGACCCAAAATAAGAAACTCAGATTTAAAATGCACTTCAAAGGGAAATAAAAACATAAACTTTATAGGTATTTTGGCGATGATAGAAGCCTTGGTTTATAGAAGTGGGGACACTATTTTCCTCAAAGATTTTAGTTGGTAGATTTTCAAATTCATCCTGTTTAGAATGCTCTTCCTTTCTAGATGTCTGCTTCTTAGCTGTAAACTTATTTTTGAAGTTAGCAGTTGTGGTTTTGTATAAAGTGCAGAATTCAACACCAGAAAATAACACAATAAGTAGACCACCCTTTGATATACTGCCTGGTGCTAGGCATCAACCGTTCATACTTTATTTCAGTAAGAAGAGGCACTTGTCTATGGTGCTGTCAAGCCTGTGTTAAAACAGATCCAAAAAAAAATTGACAACAAAATATTATGTTGCTTGAAACTTCAAGCAAAACACTTTTCTCTTTGAAAAGAAAAGTAACTGAGACAGCAAGGGATTTTCCATTGCTTTTAAACATTCTTAAAGACTATCTGTTTACCAATAAAATAATGAAACACAATGGCAGTTTTAAAAGTATAGTAATAAAAACCATTTTTGATAACAACTTAGGAATTGTTTTTATATTAATTATCCTCATGCCTTTATTCAAATATTTGGTAGGGCATGTTGTTAGCATTGGTCAAACACTAACACTAAAAGATAAAATATTTTTAACTCACCATTATATAAAACTTGTGTTTTGAACAAGTTTTGACAAAAGAGGTGAGCAAACTTTTTCTTTAAAGGGCAAGATAGTAAATATTTGCTGGTTATATGGTTTCCGTCACAGCTGCTCAAATCTGCCATTGTAGTGAAAAAGCAAACTTGAGGAATCCATGAGCAACTGGGTATGTCTATGTTCCAATAAAATAGGTAGGGGGCTAGATTTGACTCACAGTGTATACATAACTTGCTGACCTCTGCTTTACAATAAGCAAAGAGAAGCATGACATTTATTTTTCAACTTCTCTTTGTTCTCTTCCAAATTGTATTTAATAATTATACAGCAGAGATACCACATTGAGGCAATAAAGAAAGGGTCTATATCAAAGAGAACTGAATAATTATGCAAGTGTCCCAAATCAAAGGGGGAATGAGGGTGACAGTGACATTCCAAAAAACATTCAGTTATTAATATTGAGTGCTGGCATGTTTCTGAATACAGATGTGCTGGCATTGCAGCAATCCTTTATTATGAAATGAACAGACCAGCTTTGAGAATCTAACTCAGGAAGTAGCAGCCATATCCACTTCTCCTTGCTCCTGCCTCTGCATTAGGAATGTTCCTACCTTCTGGTGCATGCTAAAACCTGTAGCTAATATAATAATCCAGTCAAACTTAAGTCTTGTTTAAAATTTTTGCACCTGGGGTTTAGGCCTTCTACACCTTGGGGATTAATTAAGGAATGGACTTAAATATTCTTATGTTGGCTTCTAGTTTTCATAGAATTGAGATGAGTTTAAAAGCAAACAGAAAATAAGGAAATGATATAAACAGTAGAGGAATTTATGAACTGTTAGGTCCAATTATACTTTTAAGACTTCGAACACAGTCCTCTCTCTAACATAGATTTGACTGTTCCCTACTCACTAATTTAGGAATTATTTCTGATAAATAAAAAAAGAGAAGAAAACAACTGAATTTTTTAAGAAAAACAAATTAAAGCAATTAGTAGGTTTTAATCAGTGCAGCTGGACTCTTTGTGCAGTTGTTCATTTGGCAGGAGTGCAGGTGATCCATTAAGAAATTATTTACTGCACATTTAAACATGAGGACTACTGTAATAAGAACTACCCAGAAAATGCACAATTGGAAAAGGCTTGATTAAAAATCTGCTAAGAAGAGACGAGATAGACCCAAGAATTTACTGAAGTATAACTCACAATATAAACCTCAAGAACTATTAATATAAAAAATGAATTATAAATATGGCATGGATATATCTGGGTGAGTCATGGTTACAAGAGTAGAGCATAAAAATAGAATAGGGGGCCGGGCGTGGTGGCTCATGCCTGTAATCCCAGCACTTTGGAAGACCGAGGCGGGTGGATCACAAGGTTAGGAGATCTAGACCATCCTGGCTAACAGTCCATGTTCATTGGCTGAAATTATCTAATAATATTAAAATGTCAATTCTTTTAACTTTACAGATTAATTAAACTCAATCAAAATTCCAAAGAAGTATTTGTAGATATCAACAAACTTATATGAAAAGGCCAAAGACCTAGGAGAGCCAAAGAAATACTAAAGAAAAAGAAAAACATTATAGCTGAAGAACTGATGGCACTCAACATGAAGACTGACCATAAAGTTAAAGTAAAAAAGTATCGTACTGGTGAAAGAATGGAAACAAAACCTATGCAACAAAATACAAGCCTAGAGATTAAACTCACACAAGTGTAGCCAATTGCATTTTGACATAGGAGCAAAGGTTATTAAATAGAGTAAAAATAAAAATTTCAACATGTGCTGCTGGAATGTTTGGATGTCTAGATGCAAAAAATAATAAAAATGCTCATAGAAACAGACCTTATACCTAACACAAATATTAACTCAAAATGAAACATAGACTTAAATGTAAAATGAAAAGCTACAAAATTCCTAGAAGAAAATACATGTGACCCTGGGTATGATGACAGATTTTTAGATACAACACTAAAATCATAATGAATGAATAAAAAATTTCATAAGTTGGACTTTATTAAAATTAAAACTTTGGCTCTTTTAAAGACACAAAAAATGTTAAAAGACAGGAAAATATGTGCAAAATATATATCTAATATCAAATCGTAACAGAGAATTCTTACAACTCAAAATATGAATACAAACAATGCAATTTTTAAAAAGGCCTAAATTACCAAAGAAGGTGTTAAGATGGCAAACAAACATATGGAAGGATGCTCGACATTATTTGTCATTAAGGAACTACAAATGAAAACAACAATGTAATACAACTACACACCTATAAAGTGGTGAAAATGCAAAAAAATTAAAAATAGCAAATGCTGGCCAAAATGTAGAACAACAAGAACTCTGATTCACTGTTTGTGAGAAAGCAAGATGAAAGAACTGTTTTGGAAGACAGTTTGGGAGTTTCTTACAAAGCTAAACGTGGTCTTGTTATTAAAAT
Organism: Homo sapiens; assembly: GCF_000001405.40. Classification (NCBI taxonomy): domain Eukaryota; kingdom Metazoa; phylum Chordata; class Mammalia; order Primates; family Hominidae; genus Homo; species Homo sapiens. Next base: position 103,634,198 of record NC_000002.12, on the reverse strand, counting down.
CAGAAATGGCACTCTAGTTATTTACCCAACTGATTTGAAAACTTACCTTCACACAAAACCTGCATAAGATAGCGGTTTCATTCACAATTTCTAAAACCCCCAAGTAACCTGGATATGTTTCAGCGAGTGAATGGGTAAACATACAGTGGTACATCCATACAACAACATTCTATTCCATAGTAAAAAAGCAATGAGCTCTCAAGTCATGCATAAATGTGGATGAATGCTAAATGCATGTTGCTGCATTAACGAAGCTAGTTTGAAAAGGTTACATATCATATGACTCCATTTATTTGATATTATAGAAAAGACAAAACCATAGAAACAGGAAAAATATCAGTGATTGCCAACAATTTGCAGAAATGGAGTACAGTGGTTTTTTAAAAGATATAGTAATGGTAGATATATGACATAATGCACTTGTCAAAAGCCTTATAATTTTACAACACAAAGAGTAAATCTTAATGTACACCAAAATAAAAATAAAATCTTTTTTTAAATTACACTTTAAGTTCTTGGATACACGTGCAGAATGTACAGGTTTGTCACATAGCTATACACGTGCCATGGTGGTTTGCTGCATCCATCAACCCATCATCTACATTAGGTATTTCTCCTAATGTTATCCCTCCCCTAGCCCCCCACACCTGACAAGCCCCGGTGTGTGATGTTACCCTCCCTGTGTCCATGTGTTCTCATTGTTCAACTCCCACCTATGAGTGAGAACATGCGGTGTTTGGTTTTCTGTTCCTGGGTTAGTTTGCTGAGAATGATGGTTTCCAGCTTCACCCATGTCCCTGCAAAGGACATGAACTCATCCTTTTTGGTGGCTGCATAGTATTCCATGGTGTATATGTGCCACATTTTCTTTATCCAGTCTATCATTGATGGGCATTTGGGTTGGTTCCAAGACTTTGCTATTGTGAACAGTGCAGCAATAAACACACATGTGCTTGTGTCTTTATGGTAGAATGATTTATAATCCTCTGGCTATATACACAGTAATGGGATTGCTGGGTCAAATGATATTTCTGGTTCTAGATCCTTGAGGAATAGCCACACAGTCTTCCACAATGGTTGAACTAATTTACACTCCCACCGACAGTGTAAAAGCCTGCTTATTTCTCCACATACTCTCCAGCATCTGTTGTTTCCTGACAACTGGCTAGTCATATGCAGAAAACTGAAACTGGACCCCTTCCTTATACCTTATACAAAAATTAACTCAAGATGGATTAAAGACTTAAACATAAACCTAAAACCTTAAAAACCTTAGAAGAAAACCTAGGCAATACAATTCAGGACATAGGCATGGGCAAAGACTTCATGACTAAAACACCAAAAGCAATGGCAACAAAAGCCAAAATTGACAAATGGGATCTAACTGAACTAAAGAGCTTCTGCATAGCAAAAGAAACTATCATCAGAGTAAACAGGCAACCTATAGAATGGGAGAAAATTTTTGCAATCTATCCATCTGACAAAGGGCTAAAATCCAGAATCTATAAAGAACTTAAACAAATTTACAAGAAAAAAAACCAAACAACCCCATCAAAAAGTGGGTGAAGGATATGAACAGACACTTCTCAAAAGAAGACATTTTTGCAGCCAACAAACAGATGAAAAAAAAGCTCATCATCACTGTTCATTGCATAAATGCAAATCAAAACCACAGTGAGATACCATTTCACACCCATTAGGATGGCGATCATTAAAAAGTCAGGAAAAAAATCATTCTGATGGTCAGGGGATCCCAGGATGGAAATTAGAATGTAACTATTTAAAAATATACATGTTCTTAAAAATGTATGAAACAATGCCAGTAAAAGGGGTCAAAAAAATGTTGACCTAAATACCTGTTGAAATAATTGGAGTCTATAAAAATAAATGCAAAGTCTTCTGTGATAGGGCTACACATGCAAGGCAAACCCCAAATGCCACAGGAGCAAAGAAACCAAAGAAAATAGACAAATCCAGTTTGTCAGTAAAGGGTGTTTTATTACAGAAACTTACAGACTGAAGGGTGGTGTTTGGCCGCTGCAAGACAGGTATATGTACCCACAGTTACTTCCCAGACCCAGGGCTTATACACCACAGGGAAAAGGTATATGTGCTCCAGCCAGACAATTGAAGGCAAACATTTAGAACAGGCAACAATGTTATGTGCATCACATCCTATAATTTGTGTGATAACATCAAGCTTTCTTTGATCTAAAGGCAGGATTTATAGTGAGTACATGTTCTTACATTAGTGACAATAAAGTAGGGACCAGGAGGCATTCATGGGACTAGGGCTAATCAGAAGTCAACATGGCGGATTAGCACCCAAGATGGAGGCACTTTTGTCACCATAAAAATAATTTGCACATAAGCATTACATTCCAGTTTATAGATTTGTTTGTCATCAGGGGAAATGCATTAACAAGTCTGACAACTCTATTCATACATATTGAAATGAAACTCTTATGTAAATGGATGGTGGAAGATTGGAACCAGTTTTCTCACTGTGGCAGTGGAAGTATAAAGACAAGAAAGAAGAGAATGCTAGAATGATTCACAAGGAAGTGTATTAGCATTGGCGATATCTGAGTGAACTCAGTTTAGCTTAATATTGATACAGATGTTTGCATATAGAAATATTTATGGTTTATATGCATTGGCCAGTATAAACAAACAGATTTCCCTTCATTGTCAGCTAAGTGGCCTACGGGCAACTACATCAAAATAGAAACAAATATAGCCACTACCCAGATCTTGGTCTCTAATGCCGTCAAATCACACTACAGAAAAATCTTTTGCAAAAGGAAGAGTCAATTGATGTGGCAAATTTTATTGTTGTCTTATTTTAAGAAATTTCCACAGACACACCAACCTTCAGCAACCACCACCCTGATCCATCAGTAGCCATCAACATCAAGGCAGGACCTTCCACCAGTGAAAATATTACAACAAACAAATGCTAAGTGATTGTTAGCATTATTTGGCAATATAATATTTCTTATTTAGGGTATGTACATTTTTAGACTTACTGCTATTGTACACTTAATAGACTATAATATTGTGTAAACATAATTTTTATATGTACTGGGAAACCAAAAAAAAATGTGACTGACTTTATTGTGATATTCACTTTATTGCCACGGTCTGGACTAAAATCCACAATATCTCCACAATGTTCCTGTAGTTTTGTGGACGATTTGGACAACAAAGTGTATAGTGCCTCTCTACACTTTCTTAAGACATACCCAGATATCCTTCAAATTATTGGGACATTTATTTTGTGGAGAAATATTTTCAGTTTGTGTAATGAAGTTTGGGCTAAGATAAAACAGAAATAAAATAATTTCTCTATTGATACATTAGACATATGAATTTTTAAGTTTTTATTTTTTCTTTACAATATTGTGTTTTACATAAATCTAGATGTTATAGAATAGACAATTTAAGCAGCTAGGGTATAGTTATCTTTTATTTTATTTTTATTTTTCCATAAAAGAGCATTGAATTGATAAGGTATTCTTTCCCACAACACACAATGCATTTTATTCTAGGTCTGGCATAATACAACCTAAGGGATGACTAAAACATTATGCCTTAAAAAACATATAAAATATCTCCATAACTGTTAACATTGAATACAACTCAGCTATCAATCAAATATTAACTTTTTACCTAGAAGATACACATAAGAAATTAATAAGAACTCTTCAAATTCTGAACCTATTGAGATAAATCAAAAGAATAAGTTAGACGAACATAAAAATACAACTCTTATTTCCAATAAGGGATAGTTTGTAGGATGGGGCTTGGATAACTGAAAAACAATGAGCTTCCAAATGACCCCAGAAAAAGACAGACTCTCTGATCTCAGTCACAGGCAATGCAGGACAACTGTGGACTCTGGATGGGGCAGAACTGCATTTATAAAATGTATGGCTTGAGTAGCAGACCAGAGTGTGCTCACCACAACCAAGTAGATCACGAAGAGAAAAGAGGCTTCATCACATATGGCCACCCCATTTCCCAAATTCATTAAATAGGTCCCTTCACTTCAGGAGGTGGAGTAGAGATTTGCAAACGACTAGGTCTATTTAGGAAGCATCTCTCTTCTTGGAGACTGGAAGAGAAGACAATGTTTTAACTTCCATGTCTTATTTGGTTCTGATTGGTATAAAAATACTATAGACTGGGTAAGTTATAAACAATTTATTTCTCACAGTTATGGAAGTGGAGAAGTTTCAAGTTTAAAGCATCAGCATGTTATTATATCAGCACTGGTTAGGGCCCATCTTCTGAATCACACATGGCACCTTTTTGCTGTGTCCTCACAGTGTGGAAGGGACTAGCTAGCTCTCTTGGGCCGTTTTATGAGGACACTATTCCCAATCATGAAGGCCTCACCCTCATGACCTAATCACTTCTCAAAGGCCCTACCTCCTAATATTATCCTCTTGGGGATTTGGATTTCAATATATGAACTTTGGAGGAACACATTCTGTCTATAGAACACAGAAAGTAAATCAAACCTATGGCTGCATTCTAGACCTATGGAATGTGGAACTGCTTAACTTTGGGAGTCTAAATTTGAGTATATCCCTCCCAGATTACTAACTCTACCTTTATAGACATCTCACTGCACACATGTCAGCCACATGATCACTCCCTCCATTTCCCGCTGGGTTACCAGCTCTTGTTGATCTCATTCACTTCCCTACCAAGTCTATATCTATTTTATCTAAACTATAAAATTTACCCTCAAAACTTCCATAGCTTTCAACATTATTTATTCTAGTGTTTACCACATTATTCCTATTAGTATTACCACTGACTAATCATCCATAGCCCATGCTCATCAAAAACTTTATTTTCCTTGTAATTATAGGAAATAAATTGGAAAGTGGATTTTGTCTCTTCAAATGATAAAGAGACAAAAATCACATAAATAGTTAGATTTTATTGTGGGGGTGTTGGGAAAATCCTTGCCAGTTTTTGTGTTTTAGAGAGTTGACATAATTTCACTCATGTTATTGAACTGATACCAGTTCAACTTAAACACTAAAAGAAATAATAATGAAAGTTGCAGAAGAAGTTGGGAATACATTTTATAAGTTTGGATGAAATAGGTCTGAACAGAAGCAATGACTAGGGGAATGACAAGGAGGACATGGGCATGGGAAACTACAGAATGAACAGGACCTGGAACAGGACTTAGAACCAGTACAAAGGAGAGAGTAGGAGGCATCAAAGGTGACTGCTGGTGTCTATCAATACCTGGCACATGAGGAAAAACATGAATATATGTTGAATGCAATATAGTGTTTATAATCAGTATTTTTAATAAAATTAAGTGAATATTAGGTAACTCCCTGAATATTAGAGGGATTTCTTTGAACATTTTTAGAATTCTATATATTTTATGTTATACTAAAATAAAGGCTATTTTAAATATCTTTTCCTCTTACTTCCCACTTCAATAATTTTCTCATTTCCTCAGTTGTGAAAAGGTCACTTTATTGTTATGCATCATAGTCATTTAACTACATTTCTATTAAATGGTCAAGAGTTTGATGACAGCACCTCTGAAGAAACTGCTTTGGATTATATACAATTATATGAAATTACTAATGTATATTGACAACTTGCAATGTATCAGGTACTTAATAGACATCATCCTATTTAATTGTCAGAACAACTCTCAGAGGTATCTGTTATTTCCAATTTGTGTATGTGTAAACTGAGAGCCCAGTGAATAATTATATTGGTTCAAATCTGCACAGTTGGTGGGCATGAAGCCAAGACTTCCATTCAAGTTTTTCTGACTGCATCACCTGTAGTCCTATAGACAATAAACTGTCTTTACTTTGTAGTAGACTGTAAAATACAGTATAAATTTTGCATTACCTCCCTTTACTGTTGTTGCTGTTGTCTGTTCCTGAATTCTGTTGAATAATTATTGCTTTGAGAATTATTGCTGTCTTAATGAAAATTAAAAATGGTGTTTGTGTTTTACAAAATATGCAACTATGCCCAAGGCAATAATTTGAAATATGATAAAATCTGACCATATGTGAACATTTTTTTAAATGAATATAACAGTTTAATTGAACATGCAAGGCTGACCCTTAATGCTACTCTGTCTAACATAACAGTGTTAAGAAGAGGAATTGGTACAGTCTGCACTCTTTAGTATTTTTAATAATGCTATTTTAATTGACAAATTATAATTGTATACATTTATAGGATAAAATGTCTGGATTATTTCACTTAACATAATGTCCTCCAGGGTCATTCACATGGCCTCCAGTAACAGAATTTTGTTCTTTTTATGGCTGAATAATATTGCATTGTGTGTATATATACCACATTCACTTTCTTCATTCATCCATTGATAGACACTTGGGTTTATTCTGCATCTTGGCTATTGTAAATAGTGCTGCAATGAACATGGAGGTAAATATAACTCTTTGACATACTGATTTCCTTTCCTTTGGATACATACTCAATAGTGGGATTATTGGATCATATGATAGTTCTAATTTAGTTTTTTAAGGAACCTCCACACAATTTTGCATACTGTATGTGCTAATTTACATTCCCATGAACAGTGTGCAATGATTCCCTTTTGTTTACATCCTCACCAGTACTTGTAATCTTTCATCATTTTGATAATATGCAACAGGTGTGAGGTGATAGCTTATTGTGGTTTTAATTTGTATTTCCCTAATGGTTAGTGATACTGAGAATCTTTTTTATGTACCTCTTAGTCGTTTGGATGTCTTCTTTTGAGAAATGTTTTTTTAGATCATTTGCCTACTTTTTTAATCAGGTTGTTTGTTTTTGCTATTGAGTTGTTTGAGTTCTTATATATTTTGGATATTAACTCCTAATCAGATGAGTAGTTTGGAAATATTTTAATCCACTCTGTAGGTTGCTTCTGCACTTTGTTAATTGTTTTCTTTGTTGTGCAGAAGCATTTTAGTTTGATGCAACCCCATGAGGTTATATGCAAAAGTCATTGCCCAACTAATGTTGTATAAGTTGTCCCATATTTTTTTCTAGTAGTTTAACAGTTTCAGGTTTTATATTTAGGCCTTCTTCCATTTTGAGTTGATATTTGTGTATGGTATAATATACGGGTCCAATCTTATCCTTCTGCATGTGGCAAACCGGTTTTCCCTACACAATTTTTTGTTTTGTTTTTAATTTCAACTTTTATTTTAGAATCAGGAGGTACATGTACAGATTTATTACATAGGTATATTACACCCAGGTAGTGAACATGGTACATAATAGGTAGATTTTCAATTCACACCCTGCTCCCTCCCCACTCTAGTAGCCCACATGTCTCTTGTTCCCATGTTTCTGTCCATGTGTGTTCAATGTTTAACTCCCACTTACAAGTGAGAACATGTAGTATTTAATTTTTTGTTCCTGCAGTAATTCACTTAGGATTATGGACTCCAGCTATAACCCTGTTGCTGCAAAGGACATGATTTCATTATTTTTTACGGCTGCATACTATTCCATGTAGTATATGTACTACATTTTCTTTATCCAAATCCACTCTTGATGGGCACCTAGGTTGATTCCATGTCTTTTCTATTGTAAATTGTGTTGTGATGAACATGCAAGTGCTTGTGTCTCTTTGGTATAATGATCTATTTTCTTTGGCTTATACATCCAGTAATAGGATTGCTGGGTTCAATGGTAGCTTTGTTTTAAGTTCCTTGAGAAATCACCAAACTGCTTTCCACAGTGGGTGAACTAATTTATATTCCCACTAGCAGTTTATAAGTATTTCTTTTTCTCCACAACTTCACCCAAGTCTATTTTTTTGACTTTTTTAATATAAGTCATTTTGACTAGTGTGAAATGGTATCTCATCATGGTTTTTATTTGCATTTCTCTGATGATTAGAGATGATAAACATTTTTTAAAATGTCTGTTGGCTATTTCTATGTCTTTTTGGCTGTTTGATGTCTTTTTTGAGAAGCGTCTCTTCATATCCATTGCCCATTTCTAATGGTTTTTTTTTTTTTTTTTTTTTTTTTGCTTGTTGATTTGTTCAAGTCCCTTATAGATTCTGGACATTAGACCTTTGTTGGATGCATAGTTTGCAAATATTTTCTCCCATTTGATATGTTGCCTGTTTACTCTGTTGATAGTTTCTTTTGCTGTACTGTAGCTCTTTAGTTTAACTATATCCCACTTATCAATTTTTGGTTTTATTGCAATTGCTTTTCAAAACTTAGCCACAAATTCTTTGCCAAGACCAATATTGAGAAGAGTATTTCCTAGGTTTTCTTTTAAGATTTTTATAGTTAGAACTCTTACATTTAAATCTTTAATACATCTTATTTAATTTTTGTATGTGGTGAAAGGTAAGGGTCTAATTTCATTCTTCTGCATATGGGTAGTCAGATATCCCAGCTCCATTTATTGAATTGAGAATTACTTCACCGTTGCCTGTTTTTGTGACTTTTGTCAAAGATTAGACAGTTGTAGGTGTGTATCTTTTTACTGTGCTTTATATTATGTTTCATTGGTCTATGTGTAGGTTTTTATACTAGTACCATGCTGTTTTTATTACTGTAGCCTTATGGTATAGTTTAAAGTTGAGTAGTGTCAATATAATTTATTGAAGACACTCTCTTTTTCCCATTGAGTATTCTTGACATACTTGTCCAAAATCAATTGACCATAAATGTGTTGGTTTGTTTCTGAGCTTTCTTCCTGCTTCATTCATTGATGTCTCTGTTTTTATGCCAGTAGCATGCTGTTTTAATTATAATAACTTTTGAAGTCATGAAGTGCAATGCCTTTAACCTTGTTCTTTTTGTTCAAGGTTGTTTTGGCTATTCACATTATTTCATAGTTTCATACAACTTTAAACATCGTTTTCCCTATTTCTTGAAAAATGCCATGCAATTTTGATAGGGATTGCATTGACTCTTTAAATCACTTTGGGTAATATATACATTTTAACACTACTAATTCTTTCAGTACATGAACATGGGATTTTTTTCATTTATTTGTGTTTTAATCAATTTCTTTCATCAGTGTTTTATAATTTTCAGCATATATGTGTTTCACCTCTAAGTAAATTTGCACCTAAGTATCTTTGTTGCTATTGTAAATAGAATTAATTTTTTCTGCTAGTTCATTATTAGTATATATAAACATAGCATATATATTTTCTATATGAATTTTGTATCCTGCAACTTTACTGAATTTGTTTAACTCTTCTAACAATTTTTTGGTGGAATCCTTAAGGTTTCCTTTTTAACAGATCATGTGATCAGCAATTTCACATCTTACTTTCCTATTAGTATGCCTTTTATTTCTTTCTCTTGCCTAATTGCTCTAGCTAGGACTTCCAGTACTGTGTTGAAAGTAAGTGGTGAGTGTGAGCATCCTTATCTTGACCCTGATCTTAGCAGAAAAGCACTTTACTTTGCTTTTCACCACTGAATATAATGTTAATTAGTATTTGTTATTTATAGTCTTTATTGTGTTGAGGTATATTTAATCTATACCTAATCTGTAGACAGTTTTTATTATGAAAGAGTATTATATTTTGTCAAATGCTCTTTCTGCATCTATTGAAATGATCATAAGGTTTGCGTCCTTCATTCCGTTAATGTGGCATATTACATTTATTGATTTGTTTATATTGAACTATCTTTGGATCCCAGAGATAATTCCCCCCTAAAATCATGGTCAGTGATTCTATAATGTGTTGTTCAATTTGGTTTCTTAATATTGAGAATTTTTGCATTTATGGTCATCAGAAATATTGGCCTATAATTTTCTTTCCTTGTAGTATCCTTGTCCAGCTTTAATAACTCCTATTTTCCTAGATAGTCTAGCTAAGGATTTGGTGATTTTGTCTTTTCAAAAAACCAACTCTTGGTTTGTTGATTTTTTTCTATTATTTTTCTACTCTCTATTACATTTATCTCTGTTCAAATCTTTATTATTTTCTTCTGTTTGCTAACTTGGGGCTTAATATATTCATCTTTTTTTTTAGTTCATAATTTTTTTGTTTTACATTTTTTACACCAATGTAACAAAAAGGTGGAAGGGAAGGGAGCCTGACAGACAGTGTATGTTATGCTTATAAGTTGGGGGACTGGGAGGAAACAGGGGCAGGGGCCCAGGTGAAGAGAAAACACACGGTCTCTATGGAAATATGAAGAGTTTGGATAGCAATGTATGATGGGAGACAGGTTCAGAAATGGCAGAGGGTGGCCATCTGGCTTTATTCTCAGGGAGAGAAGGTGCTGTGCCTTTTCACAGTCCACAATGTGAATCCCAGCAGACTTTTATCTTGATCTATAGCAATCCCCTTGACCTATAGCAATCCCCATCTCTGTTGCAGTCACACAAAAGGTAATCCTTTCCCACTTCCTTGTCTCTGGCAATTTTCATTATCTGATTAACAGAAGGCAAGAGATCTTCACATAGATGAGGGATCAGGTCAATCAGGTTGCTGAGCTTTTTCTCAATTTGCTGTGGAGGTAGGTGCCTCATTAGGTCTAAGGCATAGTCCAACTGCTGATCACTCATGGTGGCAGAGGCAGCGGCAGTCCCCATCCTGGTGTCTGTGATTTTCCACCCCATGGCAGCAGGGCCAGGCACTTCCCATATTCATCTTTTTCTAGGTTCTTGAGGTGTAACATTAAATTCGTTGAGATCTTCTTTTTCGAAACAGGCATTTGTTGCTATAAATTTCTCTCTTGGGATTGCTTTTGCTGCATTGAATAAGCTTGTATTTCTATTTTTATTTGACTCAAGGCATTTTTTAATTTTTTTATTTATCCTGTGATCCACGGGTTGTTAAAGCATAACTTGTTTAATTTCCACACGTTTATTCTCCAAATTTCTTCCTATTGTTAATTTCTAGTTTCATGTATCTGTAATCAGAATAGATACTTGATATGATTTCAAACCCTGCAAACTTTTTAAGACTTGCTTTGTGACTGAACCTACAATCTATCTTGGAGAATGTTCCTTATCTGCTTGAGAAAAAAATGTATAATCTGTTAATTTTGAATGGAATATTCTGAATATGTATGTTGGGTCTATTTGATACAAAATGTAATTTATGCCCAATGTTTCCTTGTTGATTTTCTGTCTGGGTGATATATTCATTGTTGGGAGTGGGGTATTGAGATCCCCAACTATTATTGTATTGCAGTTTATTTCTCTCTACAGTTCATTTAACATTACTTTATATATTTAGGTACTCCAATGTTGGGTACATTTATATTTACAATGATTATGTCCTCTTCATAAATTGACCCTTTTGTCTTCATATAATGAGTTTTTTCTCTCTTTTTATAGTTCTTGAATTAAGTGTGTTTTGTCTAAGTATAGCCACCTCTCCTGTCTCTGGGTTTCCATTTGCATGAAGTATCATTATGCATTTCTTCACTTTCAGTCTTAGTGCCCTTACTAGTAAAGTGAGTCTCTTGAAGGCAGAAAGTAATTGGGTCTTGTTTTTTATTCATTCAGTCACTCTATATCTTTTGATTGGAGAATGTATTCCATTTATATTTAAAGTAATTATTGATAGGTAAGAACTTGTGACTGCCATTTTTAATTTTTGTTGTTGTTCTGTTGATCTTTTTTTTTCTTCTTCTTCTCTTGCCATCACTGTGCTTTGATGGTTTTCTGTGGTGATATGCTTTGAATCATTTTCAAAAATGTTTTGTGCAACTATCATAGTTTTTTTTGTGGTTACTATGAGGCTTTACATAAAATACCTCATACCAAGCTATTGTGAGCTGATAACAGTTTAACTCTAATTGCATACAATCACTGTATACTTTCATTCCTTCCCCCTAAATTTATGGTTTTGACATCAACATTTACATCTTTTAATAATCTGTATCCCTTACCAATTTATTGTAGCTATAGTTGTTTTCAGTATTTTTGTCTTTTAATTCACATAGTAGAGATAAAATTGTTTTGCACACCAACATTATATTATTAGAGTATTCTGAATGTGACTCTGCATTACTAATACCATTGAGATTTTTGCTTCCATGTTTTATGTTATTAATTAGTAGCCTTTTATTTCAGGTTAAATAACTTCCATTGGTAAATCTTGTAAGGCAAGCCAAGTGGTGATGAACACCTTCAGCTTTCGTCTGCCTGAGGAACTTTTTTATTTTTCCATTATTCCTAAAGGACAGCTATGAGAAATAAAGTATTCTTGGTTGGCAATTTTTACCTTCAGCACTTTGAATATATTATCTTACTCTCTTCTGGCTTACAGAGTTTCTGATGAGAAATCTGCTGATAGCCATATTGGAACTCCCTTGTATGTGATACGTATTTTTAATATTTGGTTGCTTTCAGATTTTTTTTTTTTTGCCTTTGGTTTTTGCAGGTTTGGTTATGATGCATCTTGGTGAACTCCTTTTTGGTTTTAATCTGACTGAAGAGTTCGAGCTTCCTGTATGTAGAGATTGTTCTCTTTCCATAGATATTGGAAACGTTTAGCCATTATTTTCTTAAACATGCTTTGTGGGCCTTTTTCTCTCTTTTCTCCTTCAGGAATTGAATGATGCAAAAGTTAGTGCTCTTAATGGTGCCCATAATTTCCAAAAACCTTCTTCATTTCTTTTTCTTAATGCCCCTTTAGATAATTTCAAATGTTCTCTCTTCAAGCTCACTGATTTTTTCTTTTGCTTGGTCAAGTCTACTTTTTTGTTCATTTATTTTAATCTTTGTATCTAGAATTTCTTTTTTATTGTTTATATTTTTTGTCAAACTTCTCATTCTGTTAATGAAATGTTTTCCAGGTTCTATTTAATTTTCTAGCCATCTTTTATGATAATTATCTGACCTTCTTAGGATTATTTTGGATTATTTGTCAGTAATTTCACCGATTTTCATTTTTTTCAGGTTCTATTATTGGAGCTTTACTAGGTTCTTTTTTTAAGGGTGTTATGTCCCCCTGATGTTTTGTAATCCTTGTGTCCTCTCATTGGTGTCTGAACATTTAAGAAAATGGCCACCTCTACCAGCCTTTGCAGATGTTCTTTGTAGAGATGGATCTTTACTATTTAGACTAGCCTGGGATTCTAGATAGGCCAGTTGGTAGCAATTCTGGACAAATAGACCCTGCTGCCAGGTTCTCTAGTTGAGCAGGGCCACTGTCTTGTCTGAGGTGGAGTGGAACTGCTAGCAGTGCTCCACAGACCAGTAAGACCACTGGCTGGACTCCACAGCCAAGCAGAGCTACTGACTTGTCTTCACCACATCCTCTGATTAGGCAGGATTGCATGCTGTCTTCCCTGGCTGGGTGGTCCTTCCAGTTGAAATCTTTAGATGGACAGAGCTGCATTCTGCGCTCTAGGGTTGAGTGAGGTCTCTGAGGTTGCTGTTCAGCTTCTCTGGTTGGCAGGGCCAGAGGCTATGCTGCACAGATATGCCTGGACAGCGGCTTGCCTCCTAGCCTGAGAAACGTTTGTACAGAGCACCAAGGCTTTGCAAAGTTGTTACTTGGCTGCTGGGGGTTGGAGAGGGTCAGATGTTCTGTTCCACAGATAGTAAATTGTCACTTGCCTGTTCTCCTAGGAAAGGTTTATGTAGAGTACCAACGTTTTGTGGGGTCGACACTTGGCAACTTATCTCTACAGCATTGTGACAAATATTTTTTCTGTTATTGACTCCGTAATTATTTCTTTATTGGATTCTTACATGGAACACTGGTTTTCTTTGTGGATTTAACATTTACACTGGCAAAAATACATAAGCATTAAAGGTACTAAATTTGAAAGAATTACATATTTGAAAAGTTCTGTCTACATAACTTCTGACACGAATAAGTTTCAAAATCAGAAAAAAAACATAAAAGAAAGAGAAAAAGATGTTTGTCAATAAATTAGTTACAGCTTGTATCACTTAATAAACTAGTAGATCAAGATGTACCTGAGGTTATCCAGTAAAGGAACAACACAATCTAACACAGAGATAAGGAAACCTTTTTGTCTAGCTCTTTTTTTTTTTTTTTTTTTTTTTCAGACGGAGTCTGGCTCTGTCGCCCAGGCTGGAGTGCAGTGGCGCAATCTCGGCTCACTGCAAGCTCTGCCTCCCAGGTTCATGCCATTCTCCTGCCTCAGCCTCCCGAGTAGCTGGGACTACAGGCACCCGCCACTACGCTGGGCTAATTTTTTCTATTTTTAGTAGAGACGGGGTTTCACCGTGTTAGCCAGGATGGTCTTGATCGCCTGACCTCGTGATCCGCCCACCTCGGCCTCCCAAAGTGCTGGGATTACAGGCATGAGCCACCACGCCCGGCCTGTCTAGCTCTTTTTATAAACACTGTACTACAATGTTCCAAACTTTGTAGGAAGTACTTCTGAAGATAAGGTAAGAATAATGACAGTATAAGTACAATGCATAAATTCTTTACTGCAGTTAAGTTTATTTGCTGTGACATTATTTTGATTCAGCTATAAAATTTATTATAAATGTGGCTTTCAATTTTATAGCAAATAAAGTTTATGCTTCATATATTTCAATATCAATAGATGAATTTAGAAATTTTGTTTTATTGGCAAAATTTTAGTATAAATGTCAGATTTCTTAATTATTTTGCAGTTAGTTTTGAAAATGACACTATAAACAACACACTGTATAGAAGAGAATCCTCTTCTTCTCCATACCTGTTATATTTTTTTAATTTGTTAGAGTATAATAAATTACTCTAAATTATTCACAATGCAAACAGTAATCCGTTGATAAATCCACTGTCATTTTATTGACACCTTTGTTGTCGTTTATAAATAATAAGGTTTGACTCAGGAAATGTTCCAGAGTTGCATGTAGTGAAAACTGGTAGCTTTTCAGAGTTCTTCTCCTCAGCTAGTAGAGAATTCCCACATGCATAAAAATTAATTAAACCAAATTTTTTATTTCATAACAACAGAAATAAAGAGCTTCAATTAAACAAACAGATAATTTGTATAATTTAAAAGCATGTCTATTTTATTTATTCATGTGTCTTTCTGTTAACGTTATTCAGGTATTACATATTGCAGAACATAGCAAATCATATAACTATTGCATGGTAACTTCATGGTATAGCTTAAGATGAAAGGTTATCCATTAATTGAGTTGTATTTATATTTATGAGGATCAAGGCAACTGCATTACAAGAAAATTACTCTTTAAACCACTTACTTACCAACCATGTATATATCAACTATATATGAGCAAGGAGAAAGCTATGCAAATGTATGCAACATATTCTTAGCATTGGTTTCAATGGTCATGTGAGAAATGTATGAAAGGGAGGGGTGATTATTAATATTGCTTTTATACATATTTATAGTGTATATTTCAACTTATTGAAGTCGAACATTGCTTTTATAATTTGAGGGGCTAAATGGTATTTGTCAAGCATAGTCTTTTAGCAGTAGTTAAGAATGTAAAACTGTGTGACACTATACCAATTTCCACTAAGTAGAACTGAGAGGTTCAGATATATTTAGTAAGATAGTTATTTTTCTGGATTTGGGCCATAGAACATTAGTAATGCCATTTCAGTGTATTTAATTCCCATCCACATGTGATACGAATGAGTGCTAATAACATAAAAGGGAGAGATAGAGATGTTAGAACTATGGATTGCAAAACAAGAATATACATTATACTCCATGATATGGAGCCTTTAAGACCTAAGCTTATCCTATGGCAGAATTCATTTTTGTACCATGTGGTAAGGCAACAAGAAAGTCAGCAACTTGGTGTGCTGACATTGCAGCAAACATGATTTTAATGAGCTCACCCAGAGGACACATTGAGGAAAAAGTGACATTTCATTGAAGAATATACTATTAAACACAACTCTCCTTGCCCTTTCATTTATCAGGGTATGAGCTAGAAAGCGCATGACTGGTTAAGACTGTGTCATTGTCCTTTAACCCAGGGGCATATGGCTCATTTGCACAGACATTTATTTTGGGACTTTCTCAGTTCAGTTGCTTAACATCTGAGTACGAAGTACCTACATATTACCATCCTAGAGGAGAAAACACTGATCTTTAATGAAATTAAGGAAACATAAATCACATATTTTGGAGAAAAATTAGTCATTGGAAAGAAAGGTAGATACTAGTGCATTAGTAATAGGTCATATAAAATAATTTTCATATCTGTGTTAAATTATTACTTGGGGGGAAACAATTAACTTGTCTTGCTTTTTCTAATTTCCTCTCTCCAAAGACTTTCAATAATAATAATAATAATAATACATTATTAATTTGAACTTTCATTAAGCTTCTCTTCTAATGTATTTAAAGCTCCTGTTTTCACTGGGCTCTGAGATTCACCCAGTCTAGAAACCCCGGAAATTACTTTGCTCCCCATCTCTCTCTTGTCTTTCATACCGAGTCTCTAAAATAAAAAATTCTTCCTGTTTCTAATATGTCCATTGCTGCTTACTACCTTCAGATATTTGTCAGTTACTTCATAACGGCTTTATAGCTTACTTCCTCAGCTCCACTCTTGCCTCCTTTAAACCTTTTTGAACCGTTTCCCTTGTAGTCACAGGAGTTAGACTTTTTCAAATTAAGCAAAAAGAAACATACCTATAGGCTGGCTACAGCGACTTACACCTATAATACCAACACTTTGAGAGGCCAAGATGGGAAGATTACATGAGCCCAGGAGTTCAAGACCAGCCTTGGCAACAGAGGGAGACACCATTTCTGCAAAAAATTTAAAAATTAGCCAGACACGGTGGCTTATGCCTGTAGTCCCAGCTAATTGGGAGGCTCAGGTGGGAGGATCTGCTTGAGTCTGGGAGGGCAAGGATATGGTGAGTCATGATCAAGCCACTGAACTCCTGTCTGGATGAAAGAGCAAGAGCAAGACCATGTCTAGAAACAAACAAACAAACAAAAAACTTACATTTGCTTAAAAATATTTAATAACTCTCCAATATTAATGGATTGATCTTGAAATACAAACTATTTAAAGGCTGACATTTATAGTCTGTATTTGTTTTCAGTTGTTGTGTAACAAGTTACCACTAACTTAGTGACTTAAAACCACACTTCTGTAGGTCAGAGGTCTGGTGTGTCATGGCTGGCTTCTCTGCCCAGGGAATCACAGGGCTGAAATTAAGGTGTCAGCCCAACTGAGTTAATATTTGCAGGCTCTGGGAGAGAAAAAAAACCTAGTATGTCCGGAGTTGGTTCCTTCCGGTGGGTTTGTGGTCTCCTTGACTTCAAGAATGAAGCTGCGGACCTTCGTGGTGAGTGTTACAGCTCTTAAAGGTGGCTTGGACCCAAAGAGTGAGCAGCAGCATTTATTGTGAAGAGCAAAAGAACAAAGCCTGGACAGTGCGGAAGGGGACCCAAGCGGGTTGCCACTGCTGGCTGGGGGTGTCCAGCTTTTATTCCCTTATTTGTCCCACCCATGTCCTGCTGATTGGTCCATTTAACAGAGTGCTGATTGGTCTACTTTACAGGGTGCTGATTGGTCCATTTTACTAACCTCTAGCTAGCTACATAGCGCTGGTTGGTGCATTTTACAAAACTCTAGCTAGCTACAGAGCACCGATTGGAGCATTTTTAGAAAGCACTAATTGGTGCATTTTACAAACCTCTTGTAAGAGAAGTTCTCCAAGTCCCCACTCAACCAAGGAAGTCCAGCTGGCTTCACCTCTCACTAGTTCCAATTTAATTTTTGTTTTTGGCCAAAAAAAAAAAAATCAGTCTTTTGTGATTGTACAACTGAGACAACCACACATTAAGCTTCTAGAAACTACCAGTATTCCTTGATACTGGGACCCTCCAACGGCATGGATCTCGAATTATAAATCTCTTAACATCTTCATTTTCCAACATCTAGGTCTAGATTTAATGTGCTCAACTGATTTATTTTGAACTGTCTGAAAAATATTCGTACTTAAAATTCAAGTGATTGGGATCATAATTACACCTTTAAAACCCTTCAAACAGTACTGAGAATAGTACTTAATTGCATAACATGGAGAGGGGGTATATACACCAAAGGTCTGAAATTGTAAAGGAAATCTTAACATTCTGCCTACCACCCACATACTTCTTTGATAATCTGGCCTCAAATGGCATTTAAATTCAACATCAGCTACTCACACCCCTAGTTCGGTATGTTTCCTGGATCTGCAGCCTTGACATAACCTGGGAACATGTTAGAGATGCAATTCTTAAGCTCATCCGGACGTACTGGATCAGAAACTTTAGGGTAAGGATCAAAAGTTGGTATTTTGAAACACCCAGAGTGTCACGTGATTTTGGTACACCTTATGCTTTGGAACTACTTTCCAATAGTCATACTTCTTGAATGTTGACATGCTCAATAAGCATGTGGCAAATTATTAAACACAGATTTTTCTGCCTCACCAGAGTCTGATTCAGCAAGACTGGGATGGGTCCAGAGAATGTGCATTTCTAACAAACTCCCTGGCGATGCTGCTGCTGCTGGTCCATAAACTTGTTCCCCTTGACTCCATAGTCAAGGGGAACTCTTCAGAGAACCAGCAGACCCTTCCCAGTGTCTTTGACTTTAAATATGCCATTGTCTCTGTCTCAGAATGCCATTTTACACCTTGTCTACCTATGAGATCCGACTTAGTCTGGAACACCTGATCCCAAAACCATTTCTTTCTTGAGGATTTCCCTAGAAAAATGCATTAACCTCTCCTCCAGTTTCTTGAAATTTTTATATACATCAAGACTAGCACTCATGGGATTGTAATTATTTAAATAGCTCTATTTTCCACAAAACTGTTGTGTTTTCCACCTTGGCTGGCATTAGCTCAAACATATTTGGTCCTCAAAATATTTGTTGAATTAATACATATATAAATTAGTGCACACCAGATAGGCAAAAGGATACTAAACTTCCATGTATTCCTAAAAAACATTTATTTCTTATATGTTATTTATATTGTCATGATGTTTGAGAAATTAAATATATGATAATATACTATGGTTTATGCAGCTCAATAATAAACATAGCCAAATTTGTGGATTGCTGAATGCTTGACTGGTTAGATAACTTAAAAATTGTCATTAGTAATCTTATGGCATGTTTCAACAAGGGCTCAAAATTCTATTGTAATTTCATTAAAATAGGAGAGGCTAATGTTTGAATAACTAAAGGAGAATAGTGATTATGTTCTAGGGCAACTTCTTAAGAATCATTACAAGTTAATTTGCAAAGAGAGCTACTAAGAAACTCCTGAATATTTTTCCCTTCTAATTTCCATAAAATAACCTGGTATTTGAGTTGAAGGTGGATAGTGCCTATAGCTTAAATTCATGGAAATTTATATTTATTCATGATTTAGTTTATAATGTCTTGCCATTTCACAAATGGTAACACTGTCTTGAGTTTTACAATTTCATTATGTGCAATGTCAGTACAGTTATAAAATAAAACATTAGAATAAGCACAGGTTGTTGATAATATGATGTACTTGGGCCTCACAAGAACCACCAATGATGATTTTCAATACTTCTTTAGATTTATTTTTATGACAATCTATGTTTATGATAACATTACGATTCATATACTGCAGTAACCTATTTATTATTTTTAAACTTTGGAAAGGGATCAAATGCAAGGGGTAAAAAATTACTGGAAGGAAAGAATAGGAAAGAGGAGGAGTATTAGTAATATTTCATTTATTGATTGATAGGCTCATCACACATTTGAGCAGCTACTTTCTGCAAAATACTGGGCACATAAAGATGATTAACACGTAGTGTTTGAGAGGTCCTAGTCTATGTAAAATTAATTTGTCAGTTAGGCACCATTGTTTAAGAAACTGCAGTATAAATTAGTGGCTCAATGCAGCAGCCATTCATTAATTTTATTATTAATAATTTCCTATAAGTCCTTAGGTCAGCTAGGCAGTTTATGATCTCCCCCGTGTTCTCCCATGCTTCCGAGGTGGGCTGTATGTCACATGGTGAATCTGAGGGCCAATGTGTGAGACAGAGTTCCTCACTTATGATGGGAGAAGTGAAGATCTGGGCCATCAATGTAGTCAGCCTACCATATTAACAAAAGAGTAGTGGCCCCAGGGGCGCTGAGTGGTTTCCCACACAAAAGCTAACCATGTGTATATAGGCATGGGGGCAAAATTGAGCACTTGAGTTTCAGATAACTTAATGTGACTAAATTGTAGAAGGTAACATTGAAGGGTATCACGTGGATGGAGAGAGACTGGAAAACTACTTTATGAGGCTGGAGTGTGTGTGTTCTGTAGCCTGTAATAGACAATGAAGAGGACCATGAGATGTGTGCTTTAGAATGCTAGATAGGTCAGGGTATAGGTTGGAATCTAGATGCATGAAGCTGTTTACAGGGCAATTAAGATAGTTCTGACAAGAGATAACAAGTGCCTGAATGAAGCTAGTGGCTATGAGCAAGAGCAGTGACAAAGTTGAAGAGACATTTAAGAACTCATTGCAGACCTTACATCAATTTCAAAGTCTTTATAGAGCTCGGCAGAAAATTTATTCTTGCTGAGTAGTGAGCAAGTAGTACAAATACTAAATAAAGCTACTTCAGGAACTTCTATCTTGAAGAGGACAAAAATTTTGGCATGGTAGCTGCATGTACTAACCATGTTAATTGCTTCTATAAATTGTGTGTTAATTGCCCTCCATGCATGTGCTGAATACTTCTTGCTTTGGACAACCTGATAATACACCCAAATCACCTTGTCCTGGCTTCCTGCCTCTCTCATTGTTCCTCCACACACTTCTCTAGAGCAATTTTCCTGGTACATGTTTTTCAAATACAAACCAACCAATCCAGAGCCCATGCCATAATCACCTTTTGTACTCAGTGTACACACTCTGGGTCACTATCCACCTGCTCTAATCATCCAGGGCAGGTGCCAGATAACTAGGAACAGTCTCTGCACCCCAGAGCCTGCTGAAATTATTTCAACTAGCCAATCCTAAACCTGCTTACTCTGTCTCATCTTTCCCTTCATGTGGAAACCACAATACAGGCTTTTGCCCACAGTTCTCACTCTGCCCTCTGCCCCATGGCCCAGCCTAGCACTTTCCTACATGGCTCCCTGTAGCATGGTGTGTCCCCTCCTCTTGAAAACTGTGAGTAATAGACTGTTTTCAATGGCAATAAGTTGCTGATCTGTTGGCCTTACTATACCTCAAAATTTATATTAATACACTGTATTTTAAAACATTTGAATAAACGACAATGTAGAAGAAACGGTATTTTTCTGATTTTTTTTACTCTTGCTTTTTAGTTTTAAAATGAGAGCAAATTGAGTTCATTGAAGGCCTTAATGGTAATAGAAAACATAGAACTGGAAAGAGAGGTGAAATAGCATATGGTACAATGTCTTAAAGGAAGTCAGAAGACGTAAGAGGAACAAATTAACCTTGGGCAAGAGAAGAGACTTCTCTTATAAATCAAGAGAATTTTGAAAATAGACTGGACAAGTTTATTGAGTAGATTTAGGACTGCTAACCTCTATTTATGTGAAGTAGGAAGCAAAGATTTCTAGTGAGTGTGAGAAGTGCCTGGGGAATCTTGGAAGCACTGCAGTGGTGAATAGGGACAGAAAGGGAGCAGGCAAATTCATGGATGCTTGAGAGCACTGAGGGCCCAGTGAAGGGCTGGTAGGATTAATGCAAGTTTGATGGACCACAGGATTTCAGTGCGCCTAATGCTCTTTGAAACCTCTTTCTAAGGTTGATCTAAATCATCACTCTTTGGCTGCTGTCTGCCTCAGTGAATCTGTCTGAGCCTCAGTGATTAATTGGGTAGGCATTACTGGGTCCATAATAGAGTTACTCAAGAGACAATGTACCTGTGTGAAATCTCATTTTACCAATGGCAGGGCTTCCTAGTTGAGCATATCAGTATCACTTTTCAGAGCCCATACACCCATTTTAAATTGAAAATGGTATAGTTAATGCATTTCTGAGATGTAGCAAATTTTAAAAATAAATAACAGAAGATATTGGCACAGATTAATCAAACAGAAGCTGAGATACAGTCACCCAGAACCTTCCTACCTTAGCTACTACTTCCGTGCAGAACCCAGTCTCTTGGTTGCCTCTATTTTCTTTCAATAACTATGGCTTTCTTGTCTGACTATTCTCCCTTAAGCTTCCCAGTATCTCACCAGTCTTTAAGATCTCTGCATGGTGTCAGCTCTTCCATGATCACTTCTCCGTCTTGTTTACCTGGAAGTATATCTTTCCTCTGGGCAGCCATGTGGTTTTGCTTCCAGATTTCCAGATTTTAATTAGTTAAGGAGAACTCTCTTACAGCGGATATATGTGTGTGTGTATATATATATAGTCATGAAAAACATATATTATATATGTATATGTATACCAGCTTAGGGGCTGGTATGTATGTATTTCCAGCTCCTTAGCTGGTATACAAGATTTGAGGAAAAGGACTGGGGAGTTTTTAGTCATGTGAAGTCACCAATGTTTCCGGAAAGTACTTTCAGAGTTTCTGTTTTTTGTCGTGTTTCATCACATTTAGAGCATAGGACCTCATACATTGCATGTGCCTGGTTTATATGGTTATATTCCATAACAACAATCACATAATGCTTTCATATTTTACCCAGTGCTATTATGATTACACTCAGGTGGCTCAGTTCATTTTTCTTTATGAGTGAGGTTTAGACTCAAGTTTTAAATTTTTTGTTTAATTAATTTTATTGAAGTGTGATTTAAATACTGTATAAGTTTATGTACCATATCTATTTAAATCGTATGATTTGTGTGATTGATTTTACCAGAAGTACATGCCCATGAAGACATGATCACAATCAATATAAAGAATCTATCACCTCTTAAAATGTTCTTTCTTTTTGGAAGTGTGACTCCCTCCATCTCAAGCCCAGGAAACCATTGATCGTTTTGTCACTATAAATCAGTTTGTACTTTCTAGAATTATATACAAATTAAATTGTGTTGCATGTATTTGTTTCTGTCTTGCTTCTTTTACTCACATACTTTTGAAATTGATATTTATTGCTATGTGTAACAGTTTTCCTCAGCTATGTATTTCTAATGAGTATTCCATTCCATACATATAACTGAGCTCATTCATTCATTTGTTGGTAAGACTTAGCATTGTTCCCAGGTTTTGGCTATGGTGAATAATGTAGGTTGAACATCTTTACACAAGTATTTATGTGGATATATATTTGTATATTTGTATTTCTCTTAGATAAATACCTAGGAATAGAATGGCTACATTATATGCCATTATATATGCCAACAGTTGTCAAAGTGATCATGCCATTTTACATTCATACTAGCAGCATATGAGTATTTCACTTATTCCATGCCTTCATCAAAACTGTGTACTTTTGGTCTTTTAAAATTTTAGCTATTTTGTGACTATTTAGAGATATTTCTTTGTAGTTGTAATTTGCATTTCCCTGATTCCTAATGCTGTTTTCATGTGTTAAGTGGACATTTGTGTATCTTCTTTTGTGAAATCTTTCTCCCATTTTATTATAGGTTGTTTTTAATCTTCTATTATTGAGTTATAAGGACTATTTATATATACTGGATAAAAGTTTGTTGTTTGAAATTTGTCATTGCAAATATCTTATCCCATTTCATAGCTTGCCTTTCCTCTTTTATATGCTCTTTTAAGAGCAAAAAATATTTGATTTCAACAAAATTAAGTGGATTCTTTTTAATTCATACTTTTTATGTACTAAGAAATCTTTTCATACTCTGAGTTAGTAAAGATTTCTGATTTCTCTTCTATTAAAAGTTTTATTATTTTAACCTTCACATTTAGATCTCTACTTAATAGAGTTTTGAGTTGATATTTATGCGTTTTGTTTGATAGGAGTCAAAATTTACTTTTTCTATATGTATATTTAATTGTTCCAACACAATTTGTTAAAAAGACTTTCCTTTTACCACTGAATTTCCTCAAAATCTTTGTCAAAAGTTAATTGACCATATATAAGAGTTTCTTTTTCTGAAATCCCTCTTCTGTTTCATTAATCTATATGCTAATTTTTTTTTTTTTTTTTTTGAGACGGAGTTTTGCTCTGTCCCCCAGGCTGGAGTACAGTGGCGTGATCTCGGCTCACTGCAAGCTCCGCCTCCCAAGTTCACACCATTCTCCTGCCTCAGTCTCCCGAGTAGCTGGGACTACAGGCGCCTGCCACCACGCCCAGCCAATTTTTTGTATTTTTAGTAGAGATGGGGTTTCACCGTGTTAGCCAGGATGGTCTCAATCTCCTGACCTCGTGATCTGCCCACCTCGGCCTCCCAAAGTGCTGGGATTACAGGCGTGAGCCACCGCGCCCAGCGCTCTATATGCCTATTTTAACATACAAATCTCACTCGCTTAATTGCACTAACCTTATACTATTCTTGAAATCAGGTCATTTTTAACTCTTCCAAACTTATTTTAATAATTTATCTATTCTGGATCATTAACATTATCATAAAACTTTTTAGAATATCTTTGCTAATTTCTATAAAATAAATAGTGGTATTTTGAAAGTGATAGCTTTGAATCCATAGGTGAATTCTGGAACAAATGTTATCTTAATAATGAATCTGTCAATCAATTGTTCATTACCCTATTAATTTATGGCTTCTTTACTTTCTCTCAGCAATGTTACCTAGTTTTGATAATAATAGCTTGCACATCTTCTGTTAATTTATTCTAGAGTGTTTTAAGTTTTTTCAGAGAATTACACATGGAAATGCTTTTAAAGTTAAAATGATAGTTGTTAGTATATAAAAATACAGCTGAATTTGAAAATATTTCACTTTTATTATGCCTTATTTCTAATTTTTACTTCTTGGTTCTAGAGTCTAAATAAAACTTTCTATGTAAATAATCCTGTCATGTGCAAATAGAAATAGCCTTATTACTTCCTTTCTCATCTTTACTTTTTTTATTTCTTTTTCATGTTTTATTGCACCAAGATGTCAATAAAATATTATACACAAGTGGTGAGAGTACACATCATGAAGTGAAATATATGTATTTTAAAAAAATATAAAACATTCCATATATATGATATTAAATATATATGATATAAAATATCAAACACATGTGTTGGGAGTGCACATTTTTATCTGGTTCCTAGACTTAGGGGAAACATTTCAATATTTCACCTTTAAGCAGATTAGTTGCACACTTTTCTTAGTGAGTTTTTTTAATCATCAGTTGTTGTCATACATGTTATATGCTTTTTCTATATCTATTTAAATGATAATATAGTTGTTCTTCATTTATCTTAATTTGATTATTTTAAGGTTAAACTGCAATAAATTACATCCAAAAGACAGCACTTTAAAACAATAAACATTTATCTCACATTTTTTGTGGGTCAGGAAGCCAAGTTCAGCTTAGATAGATGGCTTTGGTGCAAGGTTTCTTAGGAGGATTCAGGCAAACAATTGCATCTAAAGATGCAATTGGACAAAGATCTTCTAAGCTTACTCGTGTGGGCCTCCATTCCTCACGGGCTATTGAGCTGAAGGCCTCAGTTTCTTACTGGCTATTTTTTGCTACAGAACTGCCTCATGACAGGACAGCTGGCTTCTTTAAGAGTGAGCAGTTTAAGACAGAAAGAGAGAGAGAGAAAGAGAGAGAGAGAGAGACGGAAGGAGAAAGAACAGCAAGACAAAAGCTGAAGTAAAAATGTACTTTCTGGTAACAGAACATCAGAAGTTAGAAGTGAGTCACTAAACCCAGCCAACATTCAATGTGAAATGATTACAAGACCATGAATACCAGGATGCAGGGACTAGTAGGAGCCATCATAGAGCCTGCCTACAACACTTGGATTCCTGAGTTAAACTCCTTTTGGTTATGATATAATTCATTAAGTAATTTTGCATCTCATTTTATAAGGAATATTAGTCTCTAATTTTCTTGTTTTGTAAAACCTTTATCAGGTTTTGATGTAACACGGATGCCTCTTAAAATGAGTTGGGGGTTGTGGGCCCCTCTTCTATTCTCTGAAAGAGTTTGTGTAAGTTTGGTGTAAATTGCCCCTTAACTGTTTCATAAAATTTGCCAAGAAAACATAATTTAGAGAAAACCTAGAGTTTTCTTGAAGGGTAGGTTTTTGATATTTAAAAAATTAATAAATATGTTGCTATTCGTATTTTCTGGTGTCAATTTTGGCAATTTATGTCTGAAGGAATTTACCTATTTCACCTAAAATGTCACATTTATTGTCCATAAAATTATTATTCTCTTAATATCTGTCGACAATATGGTGATGGTGTCTGTTTCATTTCCAATGACAATTTTTGTAACTTTTTGTTGCTGATTCAAGCTAGACTTTTATCATGTTTATTCGTCTTGTCAAATAACTGGCCTTTGGTTTCTTTTCTGTTCTTTATTGGTCCCCATTTTGCATGTTATTGATTTCTATTTTGATCTTTGTTCTGTCTTCTACTTACTTTAAATTTAATTTACTATTTTTATCTTCAGTTTCTTAAACTGAAAGTTTAGTTCATTAATTCTAGACTTTTCTTGTTTTCTAATATATGCATCAAAACCTTTACATTTCCTCTATTGGATTTCTATGGGTGGATCTCATTAATTTTGAAAGGTTTTGATTTTATTTTCATTTACTTTAATATATTATCTAATATTTCATGTCATTTCTTCTTCGATAAATTATTTTGAGCCTTGTTTTTTAATTTTCACATATTTAGAGTTTTCTAAATAATTTTAATCAATTTCTAATTTAACTTCATTGTATACAGAGAATATACTTTATATAATCTTAAAATTTTTAAATTTGTTGAGTGTTTTAAATGATTTAACATACTTGTCTGTCTTTTAGAACATACAATGAGTTCTTGAAATAAATTTCATATTTTGCAGTTACGTATAATGTTCAACAAATATCAATTAGGTCAAGATAAGAAATAGTGCCCAGATTCCCTATGTATTCTTTGATATTTTTGTCTTGATGTGCAATCATTTGGAGTAGTTACTATCTACTGCTATGATCATAAAATCCTGCTAATTTTTGCGTGATATATTTTGAGCCTCTCTTAAGTACATACATATTCATGATTGTTATATTTTCTTTATGAATTGGCCCTTTTATTAAATGTATCAGTTTTTTGTAATGTGCTTTGTCTCAAGTGGATTTTATCTGACAATATATTCATTCTAGCTTTCTTATACTTACTATTTACATACTATATCTTTTTTCATCCATGGATTTCCAACATAGCTACTTCTTTATATTTAAAGTGCATCTTTTATAGATAACATTAACTGTTAGGCCTTCCTTTTTATACTCATTCTAAAAGCATCTGCCTTTTAATAGAGTGCTTAATACATTAACATTTAATGTAAATATTGATGTGCTTCTAGTGGTTCTATTTAGAGGTTTCATTTTATCATTTGTTCATGTATTTTTTTTATTTTATTTGTTTCTTTTTTTCTTTTTCTGCCTTCTTTTGGAGTGAATTAAAGCATTGTTTAGAATTTTATTTCAATTTATCTATTCTCTTTTTAGCTACATGTCTTCACTTTATTTACTTATAGAATTCTCTAGGTATTATAGAAAATTATCTTCAACTCTTCACATTTTACTTAGAATACATATGGCATAACTTCTTTAAAATGTAGGGAAAAATAAGAACATATATTTTGATTTACTTCTATCAGCTCACCATTCTTTATGCTAATGTTCTTATGTTATATATAATAAATATCTTAAGACATTGTTAGATTGTTTTAAACAAGTCATGTGTAATTTAAAGAAATTAATAAAAATATTGTCTTATTTTTGTGCTACATTTACAATTTCATTCATTCCCAAAGATTTGAATTTTCCACTGGTATCATTTTCTTTAATCCTGAAAACTTCCTTTAGTTTATTTTGTGCGGATGGTGTCCTGACCATCAATTCTCATAGTTTTATTTTATCTGAAAATTTTTTACTTCACCTTCATTCTGAAAGAATAATTTCACTGGCTGTTGTGGGTGTTATCTGGGTTGGTGATTTTCTTTTTCTTTCAGCACTTTAAAAATGTCTTTATGCCGTCTTTGTCCTCCATAGTTTCTGACGAAAAGTCTGCCATCTTTAGAATTACCATTGCATTTTAAGTGAGTGTCATTTTTCTTTGGCAGCTTTCCAGATTCTCTCTTTATCTTTCATTTTCACTAGTTGGACTATACTGTGAGGTTTGCTAAGCTTCTTCAATCTGTATGCTGTACTATTTATAGATCTCACACAGATCTCTAAATAATTAATAAAATTGAGAATGGAGTAAAATAAAATGTGCAGCTAAAGATTTGAGGAAAGGTGAATCCTCTATAAAATGTCCTTTCTCATAGCTGTGATTATTTGATCTCTTCTGGTTTTCCCCAACCCTACCACTCCTAACCCCCCACTTACAAGAACACACATATAGACACACTGCAAGGACACCCACATGCTCCAACGGTCAGGTGCAATCCAGTCTTCAGCCAAGAGAGTTTTCAGGAGTTTTAAACTGGCACTGGTAGTTTCAGCAACCAGCAATCATTGCTTCTGCTTATCACTAACTCTGTGCCAGCTCCAGCACATTTGGGTCCGTAGATGACAAATGCTACTTAAATCCAGAAGGTGAATAAAACCCGTAGGCAGGCTTTCATGCAAATTAGATTTACTTCTAAGATCATGAACTTTGTTAAGCATTTATGTAAGAAGTGTGTAGTAAACACTTTTAAGACTTAATATTATGTTCATGGAAATGCAGTCAGTTGCTATAAGGTACTGAGAATTCATCAAAAGAAGGTAGTGACACTTCAAAATCAATACACATAATGGGGTCTTCCTTCCAACCAAAATTAAATGCAGGAATGGTTCGTATGTTTACCGAGATTATACAGTCTTGGCTTTTTGAGGTGACAGCAGATGGTCCGATAAGAAGTGGCAGGACTAAGTGCAGGCAACCAGCATCTCATCTCAGGCTCTTTTAACCATGAAATCTATGAATTTATGCTTAACTGAGCGACAAGAAAAAAAAAAAAAACATGAACAGTCTTAGGGCAAGTCAGGGTGACTGGCTGTGCCTTGTATTTCTCAAGAGTAATTAAATCTTAAGCTTTTTATCTATCTTACATTCTAAAAAAGAGTGTGCTTTTCTACTTTTCTTAAAATGTCACTCATCAAAAAATGTCACTTACACATGCTTGTACTGTTTCATTTAGTTTTAGATACTTTGTGACTTGGCTTAGTTCATTTTTATTTCTTATTTCCAAGCTCCATCCAGATCCTTAGCCAAATAAGCATCAGTTGTGACTCTATTTTCCAAATTCTATCATTCTTTAAATATCATTTGGGATGATTTCCAGTAGTTCATTGATTTTCATGTTTTTCTCCTTTGTTTTTCACTGAGAATAGTGGTAGTGTATGTCTACATAGTTTTTAGTTTCAAGTATATATTGGGTAATTTAAACACAAAATTTGAGATCAGATAATGGTATATCTGCGGAAAGAAAGAGATATATAGAATATTTACATAGCATATTCTTTTTTAAAGAGCTGAAAGACCATATTAAAGAAATGTTTAAATTTTACCTATCGGTTTAGTAAATATTATCCATTCTTAAAGATACTGGAAAAATAAAATATTTTTTAAACTCATGCTTACCTTTCCAAATGAACTCAAATTGTTTTTAGAAAGCAATGAATGTTCTGTTCTCAAAAGAAATTGTTCCCATCTTTAAAAACCATTTAATTCATGCCAATCCATTAGAAACGAATACTCAATGCACTCTATTATTATGTGATTTTTTATATTATTTTATTAGCATAATTTAAACTAAGTTTATTGTTATTTCTATTGCAGCGTCAGACTAAATTTGGGAAGATATTGTGCTACCCTTGAAAGTTATACACACAGGTTTTATGGCAGAGTGTTGAAAATAGAGCTTTTGGATCCAGGATGTTAAAGAGGAATTATCAGTTTTTCAGATATTGGTGTTAATAGGTAGAAGGAGTCAAAGCTGAAGCCAATACATTGATAAAGAGCTGTTTATCACTGGATTTGATGACCAAAAAAGAAAATCTGTTTTCTTTATGTGAGAAAATTATATATAACGAAGAACTGGAAATAAAGAGAAAGTCATTTGAATAAATGCATTTCCTTTTATAAGATGTATTTTAAATAAATTAAGATACTCTTAGCCTTTGGATATGTCCAAATGCAAAAGCAATCTAACTTCAAAACTGTCTAAGATGACCTTACATTACTTACATTTAAGTCACCAGAAGTGACAGTTACTTTCAGGGATAAGTCAAAAGCATGATTAATTGCATCTTGATTCTAGTCAACAATAAGCAGCCGTGTTTTCCAGAAGACTTCAACCACCATCTACTTCATCTGAATGCTGCTCTCTTCAGAAACTCATTAGCAACTGAATAACTGGAAACAGACTGATAAATCCTTTTAACGAAAGTAGTATTCTGGATACAAGAAATTCTGAAAGTAACTCTCCATATTTACGTTTTTACAACAGGTAGTTGAATTTATAAACTGCATTTGCCATTAGTTCCAGCAAAATTACATATAATAAGGAATTGTTCATTTAGATGGATAGAGAGATAATAAGAGTGAGAAAAAAGATAATGAATTACAGTGAATGCTTAATTCATAATCTATCTGATCTGCCTCACTCTCTCCATTCCCACTGCCAATGTTCTCTTACAGGCATTCAGATGTTGCTTCAGAAATGAAGCCAGCACTCCTAACTGATGACCTATTCCCATGGCCTCCTCTCTAGTCCAGCCTGCATCTCCGGATTAATCTTTATATAACCAAATTAAAAACAATGAAAACAACAACAATAACAACAGCAATAATGCCTTTCCATTTTCTATAGACAAAAACATCTAAAATCATTAGCCTGACATTTATAACCCTGGCTCCATTTCTTGACCCAGTTATGTCCCATTCCTTCCTCTCATTTCTGTGATCTACCCTAAGAAACAAAGTCATGTTTCCCAAACCCACTTCTGTTTCCAGTTCAAATAAATTCCCTGCTGACTTGCAATTCTTATCCCTGATCTTTGTAGGACCAAGTCTAAACTGAGCCAGGAAACAAACAAAAGCAAAACAAAACACAAATCTTTCTCTCTGAAACCCCTTTAGAACTTCACCTATACATCATATTCAGCACTTACCACATTTTAATTCAGGTCATGTTAATTTAGATGTTCAAGACCCAAATATAGTTTATCACATTGCCTAGAGTATTTACTGTGGGGCTTTGTAGATGATAAACTTTGAAAAATAATTGGTGAATGAATAAAATGAACCATTTGCCGAATTTAAAGACTTTTTCCCCATCTTTGTTGTTAGTGAAAGTTGTTACTGATAATTTGAAGGGCAGGGGTGAAACTGGCATTGAAGTCTACAAAAAAAGTGAACTGTTTTATGTAGTAGAGGTAAGTTTGGCAACATTGTTGTATGTGAAAATAAAATGAATAGAAAACATGTCTAGTATACTTTAATATTTGGCTATGAGGCTTTTCAGGCACATTGTTGAAACTGCCAAATTGTTTATTTTAGCTGCATGTGGTAAAATATAGATAAAACAAAAATAAATTGAATTTTCAGTTTTCAAGCAGAATCTGGGCCATATAAAGAAGAAAATATTTGCTGGGTTCTAAAATCAAGCTCTCATCCTTATTTTCTTCTACAGGCAAAATTCTCTGGTCTCAGGAAAAATACCCAATCCAGGTTCTACTAGTAAAGCATGGTCACAGGGTAAAACTCTCAATGCTATGGCTTTAAAACCCTGTAGTGAGACTTCAGAAAGATATATGTGCTTGCTCAGTATAACCTGTAAGATTCTTAAGGATCTGCCTCTTAGACAGTCTCTACTAGATGAAAATTTCTCTCTGAATCTAAATGGCATGTTTTGTAGACTCTGTGAACAAGACAAAATGCTTCTAACCATCTTAAGCACAGCACTTTAACACTTAGTCCAAGATATTAAAAAGCTTATCTTAGAAAGAAACACGAGTGTGACTTTTGTGTATTGGAGTGGGTTGTAATTTGATACATAGGAAAGTGACACGGTTTTTAAAGGCATTTTTCCAGCTTGGATTGAAAGGGATAGAGTCAGTTCCAAACGAAGAGTGATTTCCAACTTTGGAGAAAGAAACTCAGTGGTAAACATGGGATATTTCTTAAGAAAATAAAGGGATGACTCAAAGGGTGAATCCAAGAGCCCTGAGGAAGGCTCCCAAGAGCCGTGGGAAACATTCCAGAGACTGAGTGCTAGGCAAGGACATGACCACATGCTTCTGGACGAATTTAGGGACTGTTATGGATCACTGTGTGGTTTGGTATCTCCCATTTCTACTTTTAAAAGTATGAGTGTTTTTTGCAGTCTTCCTCTTTGTTGCAGCATTGTAAGTTGAGTGTGTGGGAGGAGTATGCATCTTGTCTCTGAATTCAGGAAGTTTGACTGAGAGAAAACTTACCTGAGGAAATGATGCCAAAGAACCTTATTCTTGCCTGGATCTCATCTAACTGATGAGAACCTGAACTTCAGTTCTGAAGTAGTTGCCCTAAAGATGTACCTTGAATGTGTAAGAAATCTAATTTGTAATCATATAAAAGACTTGGGTAACTTAAAAATGGCCACAGATATTTTTCTACTCTTCTCCCTTGAATCTAGGTCAGCCTTAGTAAACTGGTTGAGAATAGATAGGGTGACCAACATTCAAGTTTACCATGGATCATAGGGCTTTCAAGAACAGAAGAGGTTCCATGTTAAAAGTAAGAAAGCCATGTACAGGTGGGCTGATTTGGTCAAAAATAATGTGGTAGGAAAAATAATGAGAGACTTTTCAAGGGTAGATCTTAAGAAAGGTTGCTTCCTCCATCCATTTCTCCTGAAACACTCTGAGGAAATCCAGCTGCTGTTTAGAAAATATAACTGCCCTAACACCAACACATTATGAGAAACTGAAGCCACAAGAAAAGGCCCTGGAGAATAAAATAACATGTGGAGAAAGAGAAGCCAAAAAGCACCAAGATGTCAGACACATGACTGAATAAGCTGTGTTGAAAGTAGATGCTCTGGCCCCAGCCAACCCAACTGATACCAAACTTCCCTGTTAAGCCCTTCTCATTTTTTTTTTAATTCACAAAACCCTGAGCAAAATAAAATTACATTTTAAATCACTAAGTTCTGTGGTAGCTTGTTATACACCATTAGACATAAAAATAGAATTGTATTCATGAGAGCAAAGAGGTTCATATACTTCCCCAGAGTATACATTATAGTGGTTTGCAAAGAAATACACACTTGAAATATAATTTTTGGTGAATAAAAAAATCAATCTGCCAATAAAACTTTTTCTTCACTATTTGTTGCTAAAAATCTGTCTCAAATGTAGTCTTATTTCACTGTTTTAAACTTAAATATTACATACAAATTGTAAATTTATCTGGATGGTTCAGTAATTTATAGTATAGTCTCTAAAATTTAGCCTGAGGTTGTTTTTGAGTATATATTCATTATAATATAAATTTATTTACTTTTATCTGCTTCTTTTGCTTGTATTCCGTGGTGTATATGTGATTCATATTTATTTGAAAGACAAATGCTCAAAAAATGGTCAATTAATTGTGAGTAAATTGGGTACAATTTGAAATTTTGATTTCTTTTCAGCAGTTCTATTTATTTGAAAGGATTGATATTTTATAAATTTTATTATCTTTTACAAATTTTCCCAATAACAAAGATAAAATTTCCTTAAATGCTAGAATAAATATCATTCTATCTTATAATTGACATACAGCTTAACTGAATTTGTTTCTAAATCTATGATACATCATATGAACATAATCATTGTATTTTTTTCTTTTTTAATGTATTGTATTCTACTTTAAGATTCAGAAGGCGCATGTGCAGGTTTGTTTCATGAGCAAATTGCGTACCATTGGGGTACAAATTATCCTGAACCCAAGGTAGTGAGTATAGTACTTAAAAGTAGCTTTCCAACCCATATTTCCCTCCCAAACTTCACTCTCAAGCAGTCCCCAGTGACTATCATTCCCATCTTTGTGTTCACGTGTGTTCAATGTTTAATGCTCACTTATAAGTGAGAGCATGCAGTATTTGGTAATCTATTTCTACATTAGTTCACATAGGATAATGACCTACAATGGCATCTATGTTGCTGCAAAGGACATGATTTCGTTCTTTTTATGGCTGCATAGTATTTCATGGTGCCACATTTTTTTCATACTATTTCACATAGTATTTCATATGTACCATATTTTTTTAATCTAGTCCAACATTCATGGGCATCTTGATTGATTCTATGTCTTTGCTATTGTGAATAGCATTGCAATAAACATACAAGTGCATGTAGAAAATTTTTTGGTAGACCAATTTATTTTCCTTTCAGTATATGCCCAATACTGTGATCACTGGGTTGAGTAGTAGTTCTAAGTTCTTTGAGAAATCTCCAAAATACTTTCCACAGTAGCTGAACTAATTTACCTTTCCTCCAGCACTATATAAGCTTTCCCATTTCTCTGATGTCTCACCAACATGCTATTCTTTGACATTTTATTAATAGCCATTCTGACTAGTGTGAGATGGTATCTCATTGTGGTTTTAATTTGCATTTCTCTAATGATTAGTGGTGTTTAGCATTTCTTCATATACTTGTTGGCCATGTGTATGTTTTCTTTTGAAAAGTGTCTGTTCATGTTCTTCACCCATTCTTTAATGGGGTTATTTGGTCTTTGGTTACTGATTTAAGTTCCTTATGGAATCTGGATATTACACCTTTGTTAAATGTGTACTTTGCAGACATTTTCTCCCATTTTGTAGGTTGTCTGTTCACTTTATTGATAGTTTCTCTTGTGCAGAAGCTCTATAGTTTAGTTAAATACCACTCATCAATTTTTGTTAACAAAATCAACAAATTGGCAATTGGAGGAGTTGCAATTGCTTTTCACAACTTATCACAAATCTTTGTTAAGGCCGATTTTCAGAACAGTATTTCCTAGGTTTTCTTCTATGGATTGTATTGTTTCAGGTCTTACATTTGAGTCTTTAATCCATGTTGAGTTGATTTTTGTGTATGGTGAAAAGAAGGGCTCCAGTTTCAGTCTTTTGCATATGGCTAGCCAATTATCCCAGCACGATTATTGAATAGAGAATCCTCTCCCCACTGTTTGTTATTGACAACTTTGTCAAAGATCAGGTGGTTGTAGGTGTGTGGCTTTATTTCTGCATTCTCTGTTCTGTTCCACTGGTCTATGTGTCTGTTTTTGTACCAATACTGTGCTATTTTGATTACTGTAGCCTAAAGATTTATCACAGCTGTTTCCCATGGGGGTGTGGTTGAGAAAAGTGTTTTGAGCTGCATTTGGGCATGATTGATACCTGCTCCTTTTGATCTGGATGATCTAGAGGGCATTTTCACTGTTTGAGACTGAGTACTATGATGCCTCCAGCTTTATTCTTTTGCTTAGGATTGCTTTGGTGATTCTGGCTCTTTTTTGATTCCATATGTATTTTTAAATATTTTTTATCTTTCTGTTAAGAATGTCATTGGTAGTTTGGTAGGAATAGCATTGAATCTGTAAATTGCTTTTGAGAATATGGCCATTTGAAGTATATTAATTCTTCCTATCAATGAGAATGGAAGTTTTTTCCATTTGTTTGTGTCATCTCCAATTTCTCTCAGCAGTGTTTTGTAATTCTCATTTCACCTCCTTGTATTTCTTATTCTTTTGGGGGCTATTGGAAGTGGGATTTCATTCTTCAATTGGCTCTGTGTTTGGATCTTATTGTTGTATAGAAAGGCTACTGATTTTTGTACATTGATTTTGTATCCAGAAACTTTACTGAAGTCATTTTAATCCAGTCCAGAAGTCTTCTGGAGGAGTCTATGGGATTTTCTAGGTACAGAGTTATATAATCTGCAAAGAGAGATATTTTGACTTCCTCCCTTCCTATTTGGATGCCTTTTATTTCTTTGCCCAATTTCTCTGACTAGGACTTTCAGTATTATATTGAATAGGAGTGGTGATAATGGGCATTCTTATCTTGTTCCAGTTCTTAAAGGGAATGCTTCCAGCTTTTCCTCATTGAACATAATGTTGGCTGTGTGTATGTAATACATGGCTCTTATTATTTTGAGCTATGCTACTTCCATGACTAATTTGTTAAAGGTTTTTAACATTAAGGGATGCTAAATTTTTTTCAAAGGCATTTCTGCCTCTATTTAGATAATTATGTGTCTTTTGTTGTTAATTCTGTTTATGTAGTGAATCCTATTTATTGATTTGTTTATGTTGAACCAACCTTGCATCCTAGGAATAAAGCCTACTTGATCATGGTGAATTAACATGTTGTTGTGCTGCTGGATTCAGTTAGCTAGTTTTTTGTTGAAGATTTTTGCCTTTATGCTCATTAGGGATATTGGCCTGAAATTTTCCTTTTTTGTTGTATCTCTGCCATGCTTTGCTGTCAGAATGAGTGCTGGCTTCATAGAATGAGTTAGGGAGGATTACCTCTTCATCGATTTTTTTGGAATTTTTTAGTAGGATTGGTACTAGTTATTCTTTTTACATCTGGAAGAATTTGACTATGAATCCATCTATCCATTTGGTCCAGGGCTTTTTGTTGATTGGTAGGCTTTTTATTACTGATTCAATTTTGGAACTTGTTATTGGTCTTTTCAAGATTTTAATCTCTTCCTCGTTCAATCTTGGGAGACTGTGTGTTTCCAGGAATTTGTTCATATTTTTTAGGTTTTCTAGTTTGCGTGCATAGAGGTATTCATAATAGTCTCTAGGGATTTTTGTTTCTCTGGTTGTCTTTATTTGGATCTTTTCTCTTTTTTATTTATTAATCTAGCTAGTGGTATATTAATCGTGTTTAATCTTTTGAAGAACCGACTTTTGGTTTGGTTTACCTTTTGAATGAACTTTCATGTCTCAGTTTTGTTCACTTCAGTCCTGATTTATATTTTCTTTTGTTAGCTTTGGCTTTGGTTTGCTCTTGTTTTTCTTGTTTCTCTGGGTACAATGTTAAGTTATTAATTTGAGATCTTTCTAACTTCTCCATGTAGGTGTTAACACTATAAACTTTCTTCTTAACACTGCTTAGCTTTGTTACAAATATTCTCGTATGTTGTGTCTCTGTTTTCATTAGTTTCATATAATTGTTTTAATTATTTCTCAATTTTGTTATTTACCCAAAAGTCACACAGGAACGTGTTCTCTAACTTCCATGCAATTGTATGGTTTTGATAAATCTTCTTGGTATTGATTTATATTTTTATTGCACTGTGGTCTGACAGTGTGGTTGGTATGTTTTCTTTTTTTTTTTTTTTAATTTGTTGAGACTTCCTTTATGGCCAAGCATGTGGTTGATCTTAGAGTATGTTCTGTGTGCAGATGAGAAGAATGTATATTCTGTTGGTGTTGGGTGGTGTGTTCTGTAGATTTCTACTAGGTTCAATTGGTCAGGTGTTGAGTTAAACACAGAATATATTTGTTAGTTTTCTGCCTTGATTATCTATCTAATGCTGTCAGTGGGGTGTTGAAGTCCCCCAGTATTATTGTGTGGTTGTCTGAATCTCTTTGTAGATCTCTACACACGTTTTTATGAATCTGGGTGCTCCAATGCTGGGTGCATATATATTTAGGATAGTTAAGTGTTCTTGTTGGATTGAGTCCTTTATCATTATGTCATGCCCTTCTTTGTTGTTTTTGA
Source organism: Homo sapiens (assembly GCF_000001405.40). NCBI lineage: Eukaryota > Metazoa > Chordata > Mammalia > Primates > Hominidae > Homo > Homo sapiens. The sequence continues at coordinate 103,596,416 of NC_000002.12, read as the reverse complement.
TCATTTTTGGTTTTAAGTCTATTTTATCTAAGAATAGTTATTCCTACTCTTTTTTTGTTTTCCTTTTTCCAGATAAATCTTTATCCCTTCTCTTTAAGCCACAGGTGTCATTAGTTGTGAGATAGGTCTCTGGAAGACAGCAGGCAGTTGAGTCTTGTTTCTCTATCCAACTTAGCTCTCTATGTCTTTTATATCCCATTTACATTCAGGGTCAATATTAACATAAGAGAATTTGATCCTGTCATTGTACAGTTAGCTGGTTGTTAGGTAGATTTGATTGTATAGTTGCTTTATAGTGTCAGTGGGATATGTGCTTAAGTGTGTTTGTGTGGTGGCAGGTATCATTGTTTCCTTTCCCTATTTACAACTCTATTTAGGAGCTCTTGTAAAGCAGTCTAGTTGTAATGAATTTCCTTAGCATTTGCTTGTCTGAAAAGGATGTCATGTCTCTTTCACTTATGAAGTTAAGTTTGGTGGGTGTATTAGTCCATTTTCACATTTCTGATAAAGACATACTTGAGACTGGGTAATTTATACAGGAAAAAGGGGTTTATTGTACTTACAGTTCCATGTGGTTGGGGAGGCCTCACAATCGTGATGGAGGGTGAAAGTCATGTCTCACATGGTGGGAGACAAGAGAAGAAAGCTTGTGCAGGGAAACTCCCCTTTTTAAAACCAACAGATCTCGTGAGACTTATTCACTATCATAAGAACAGCATGGGAAAGATCTGCCCCATGATTCAATGACCTTCCAGCAGGTCCCTCCCACAACACATGGGAATTCAAGAAGAGGTTTGGATGGAGACACAGCCAAGCCATATCATTCCACCCCTGACCCCTCCTAAATATCATGTCCCCACATTTCAAAACCAATCATGCCTTCCCAATAGTTCCCCAAAGTCTTAACTCATTTCAGCATTAACTAACTCAAGAGTCTCCAGTGCAAAGTCTCACCTGTAATAAGACAAGTCCCTTCTGCCTACGAGCCTGTAAAATCAAAAGCAAGCTAGTTACTCCCTAGATATAATGGAGGTACAGGCATTGGGTAAATACAGCCATTCTGAATGGGAGAAACTGGTCAAAACAAAGGGGCTAGAGGCTCCATGCAAGTCCAAAATCCAGCTGGGCAGTCCAATCTTAAAGCTCCAAAATTATCTCCTTTGATTCCATGTCTCACATCCAGGTCAAGCTGATACAAGAGGTAGGTTCCCATAGTTTTGGGCAGCTCTGCCCCTGTGGCTTTGCAGGGTACTGCCTCCCTCCCAGCTGCTTTCATGGACTGGTGTTGAGTGTCTGCAGCTTTTCTAGGCATATGGTGGCATATGATGCAAGCTGTCAGTGGATCTACCGTTCTAGGGTTTGGAGGACAATGGCCCTCTTCTCACAACTCCACTAGGTGGTGCCCCAGTAAGGACTTTGTGTGGGGCCTCTGACCCCACATGTCCCTTCTGCACTGCCCTAGCAGAGGCTTTCCATGAGAGCACCACACCTGCAGCAAACTTCTGCCTGGACATCCAGGCATTTCTGTACATCCTCTGAAATCTAAGTGGAGGTTCCCAAACCCGGATTCTTGATTTCTGTGCACCCGCAGGCTCGACACATGGAAGCTGTCAAGGCTTGGGTCTTCTAACCTCTGAAGCCATACCCCAAGCTGTACCTTGGCCCCTTATAGTCACAGCTTGAGCAGCATGGACACAGGGCACCAAGTCCCTAGACTGCACACAGCACAGGGACCCTGCACCTGGCCCACAAAACCACATTTTCCTCTTAGGGCTCTGGGCCTGTGATGGGACGGGCTGCCACAAAGTTCTCTGACATGCTCTGGAGACATTTTCCTCATTGTCTTGGTGGTTAACATTCAACTTCTTATTACTTATGCAAATTTCTGCAACTGGCTTGAATTTCTCCTCAGAAAATGGGATTTTCTTTTTTATTGCATTCTCAGGCTAAAAATTTTCCAAACTTTTATGCTCTATTTGCTTTTTGAAATTGAATACCTTTAACAGCACCCAAGTCACCTCTTGAATGCTTTGTTGCTTAGAAATTTCTCCCACCAGATACCCTAAATAATCTCTCTCAAGATCATTCAAAGTTCCACAAATCTCTATGATGGGGCAAAATATCACCAGTCTCTTTGCTAAAACATAACAAGAGTCACCTTTGCTCTAGTTCTCAACAAGTATCTTTTCTCCATGTGTGACCAACTCAGCTTGGATCTTACTGTTCCTGTCACTATCAGCATTTTTGTCAAAGCCATTCAACAAGTCTTTAGGAAGTTCCAAACTTTCCCACATTTCCTGTTTTCTTCTGAGCCTTCCAAACTGTTCTAACCCCTGCCTGTTACCCAGTTCCAAAGTTGCTTCCACATTTTCAAGTATCTTTTCAGCAGTGCCCCACTCCTGGCACCAATTTACTATATTAGTCCATTTTCACACTGCTGATAAAGACATACTTGAGACTGAGTAATTTATCAAGAAAAAGGGGTTTATTGGACTTACAGTTCCACATGGCTGGGGAGGCCTCACAATAATGGCAGAAGGTGAAAGGCATGTCTCACATGGCAGCAGACAAGAGGAGACAGCTTGTGCACAGAAATTCCCCTTGTTAAAACCATCATATCTCATGAGACTTATTCACTATCACAAGAACAGCAAGAGGAAGACCTACTCCATGATTCAGTCACCTCCCACCAGGTCCCTCCCACAACACATGTGACTTCAAGATGAGATTTGGGTGGGGACACAGCCAAATTATATCAGTGGGATATGAAATCCTTATTTGGAATTTTTTTAAGGATATTCAAAATAGGTCACCAATCTCTTCTGGCTTGTAAAATTTCTGCTGAGAGGTCTGCTGTTAGTATAATGAGGTTCCCTTTGTAAGTGATCTGCTCCTTATCTCTAATTGCCTTTAAGATTTTTTCTTTCATGTTGACTTTGGAGAAGTTGATGACTATGTGTCTTAGTGGGGGTCATCCTGCGTAGTATCTCATGGAGTTCTCTGAATTTCTTGAATTTCCATGTTGAACTCTGTAGCAAGATTGGGAAAACTTTTGTAGACTGTATCTTCAAATATGCTCTTGAAGTTGCTTACTCTTTCTCTTTCTCTTTCTGGAATGCCGATTAATTGTAGGCTCCATCTCTTCACATAATCCCATATTCTTTGAAGATTTGGTTCATTTTTTTCAAATTCTTTTTTCTTTTTTTTTCTGCCTGTCATGCTTCAAAGGAGCATTTTTCAAGCTCTAAGATTCTGTCTTTAGTTTTGTCTATTCTGTCATTAATGCTTCCAGTTTTATGTTGAGATTCTTGTAGTTATTTTATTTTTTAATTTCCAGAAGTTTGGGTATTTTAAAAAATGATTGTGTTGTGTTTCAACTCTTGGATTATTTTACTGTTTTCCTTGAATTGGGTTTCAACTTACTCTTGCATCTCAATGAGCTTATTTGCCATCCAGATTCTGAATTCTGTATCTGACATACGAGCCATTTCAATCTGTTTGAAATCCTTTGCTGGAAAGCTAGTGTGATCACTTGAAGGCAAGAAGATACTCTGGCTGTTAGAGTTGCCAGAATTCTTGTGTTGGTTATTTCTCATCTGGGAAGCCTGATGTTCCTTCATCCTTTGAGCTTGCTGTCCTTCAAATGTTGTTTGTTTGTTTGTTTTTGTTATCTTTACTTTTCATTTTTCACAAGGGTTTGATTATAGTGCAAGTTGGGTATAGTTGAATGGCTTTACTTCTAGATGCTTTTAGGGGGCAAGGCTGAGCTTTACACCCTGTGCTGCATGCTCTAATGTTTGAGAACAGGGATCATGTCCACAGCTTGGCCCTCTGGTCTCTCAAGGTCAAGCCCCAGGTGGGCTGGTATTGCAGGAACCCACCCCCAATATTTCAACGTAGGTTCTTTCTATTTTCCATAAGTGTCAGCCAGCTGAGGAAAAAAGAGAAAGAGTACAAAGAGGAATTTTACAGCTGCGCTGCCGGGGCTGACATCACATATCGGTAGGACTGTGATGCTCACCTAAGCCTTAGAGCCAGCAAGTTTTATTAAGGATTTCAAAAGGAGGGGAGGTGCAAGAACAGGGAGTAGTTCACAAAGATCACATGCTTCAAAGGGCAAAAAGGAGGACAAAGATCACATGCTTCTAAGGGCAAAGTCAGAAACTCCTGATAAGGGTCCAACAAAGATCACAAGGCCAAGGGTTTGCAAAAGCAAAGATCACAAGGCAGAGGGCAAAAAAAAAGATCACAAGGCAAAGGGTGAAAACAAAGATCACAAGGCAAAGGGCAAAAGCAGAATTACTGATAAGGGTCTATGTTCAGCGTTGCACATATAGTCTTGATAAACATCTTAAACAACAGAAAACAGGGTTTGAGAGCAGAGAACCGGTCTGACCTCAAATTTACTAGGGCAGGGTTTTTCCCCACCCTAGTAAGCCTGAGGGTACTACAGGAGACCAAGGCATATGTCACTCCTTATCTCAACTGCATAAGACAGACACTGCCAGAGCAGCCATTTATAGACCTCCCCCCAGCAATGCATTCCTTCCCCAGAGTATTAATCCTTGCTAGGAAAATAATTTAGCAATATCTTCACTACTTGCACGTCCGTTTATAGGCTCTCTGCAAGAAGAAAAATATGGCTGTTTTTGCCTGACCCCGCAGGCAGTCAGACCTTATGGTTGTCTTCCCTTGTTCCCTAAAATTGCTGTTATTCTGTTTTTTTTCAAGGTGCACTGATTTCATATTGTTCAAGCACACATGTTTTCCAATCAATTTGTACAGTTAACACAATTATCACAGTGGCCCTGAGGTGACGTACATCCTCAGCTTACAAAGATAACAGGATCAAGAGATTAAAGTAAGACAGGTGTAAGAAATTATGAAAGTATTATTTGGGAACTGGTAAATGTCCATGAAATCTTCACAATTTATGTTCCTCTGCCATGGCTCCAGCTGGTTCCTTCATTCGAGGTCCCTGACTTCCCACAACAGGCTGGAAGGGCTGAGTGCTCCCAGACCACTGGGAGCAGCACTCCATAATTTCTACATCATGAAATATTTTGATACCATATTATTCTATGTTTTATTTTATTTTTATTTACTATTACTTATTAATTATAATCAATTATGCCATAAAAGACTGAATAGTAAGAAAATTTGAATATTGGAATTTTCTAGAAGGCTAGTGCAATACTGAATAAATAACTTTTCAAAAAAATTGTTTCTTATGGTATGACCACAACTATTGTAACCACTCTTCAAAAAGCTATAAACAAGTTTGGAGGCACTGTAAATTTCCAGTCCATTCTTAGTTGTCACTGAAAATAAGTTATAATTCAAACTTTTTCATTTCCTGTCTACAGTGTTACATAAAAAATAGTAGATGAAGATATTTCGCACTTAGACAAACCAGAAGATGAATGCAAAGAGAAAGATAGTAACTCTATAGACTCTATAAATTGCCTTAAACTCAAGAAGAGATGAGAAAATTGTGTTTTTATATACAAAATGAATTATGATATTCTCATCTAGTTAGCTATTCAATAAAAAAGACTTCATAATGCAATCTTTTGCAGCAAGAACCCAGACCATCTTATTTTGTTTAAAGTAATAATGACTACTTATATTGATATTTTTGATGAACCAAAATTTAAATGATGCAAGGAAATCTGCTAAAATAAATTATTATTAAAATATCTAATAATGTTCTTTTCGCTATCACTTTATTGTTGTCTGTAAATTATTGCTGACTAAAAGACAAAATATGACAAAACAGAAAGTCAATTAGGTCCCGGTGGCAAATGGTGGTATCATTTTTTCCTGGCATACTAAGATTTTAAATATAATATAAAAAGAGTAAAGTTTGAAGAAACATTACAATCATTTTTTTCAATAAACTTTCCAAATAAGAAATACCTTTTATGCCATCTTTGAAGGGAAATTGGATACCTACAGTAAAGGACAACATACTACTTCTTAAAATAGACCAATCTCTAAACTGGAAAGTTTAAGTTTTTGATGTTACCAGCTAACGTTGTAGATAAACATCTCTGTAACTGCCAAGAGGGAAACTATACTTTCATTTCTTTTCATGTCTCTTGTTCAAGCACATGTTATTTTAAAATTAAAATAGCATAAATAGTAAAACAAATTCTTTAGTTGCATATTGATGATTTAAGAATAAATTGTGATTTCAGAACTGTGTAAATGGATATAATACTTGCTTATTAACGGTGTGATTATTGTAGCAACTTTAGTGGACTCATTACTTGGTTGGCTCATCTTGACCTTGTAGTGACCGTAAACACCAATGTATTTTATGTGATTTTATAAGTGAATACTACCAGGCTGGTTTCTCCCTTCTTGAACTTTTTTTTTTTTAGCATAAAAGAATGAATTAAAAATAGCTGTGTTAAGTATAAATACATTGCTTTACAAATTTCTAGTCATTCAGCATTATTTAACAATTTGAATTGTGAGAGATAGAGAAATAGTTTTGATGACTGAATCCTAGCATTTACTCCTTCTCCTATCCAAGATTTCCCATTAAAATAGCATACTAAACTGGATTAATTTAAAAACAGAAAAAAAATGGATTCATCGTCAAACAAACATTCATTACCCACATGGAAATCTTTATCAAAGTTAGTTTGTGGAATATAACTTGAACCAACATTGTAAGTATAGCATGGTAGATTCCAACTTGAAGTTAAATATTTATACATATATAATTGAGCTGAGAACACTTATCACGTGGCCAGTTCTATGAAGCCTGGAAAACTATGTCTTTTATTTATCTAAAGGCTTTCGAGGCCAAAGAGAAGGTAAGAAATAGCACTTCATGTGAATATTGGAGATGAGAGAGTATATGGATACTCTGTATTCCACTCAACATTTTTTAAACCTAAAACTGTTCTTCAAAATAAAGTCTATTAATTTAAAATAATAATCTTATAATGTCCATTGACCAAAATTTTCACTAAAAAATGGGTATGCAAGCCACAGACAGGGAAACATATTTACAATATATAAATTAAATATTTATTTTTAGAACATACACAGTATCCCTGCACATTTTTAAGGCAATCAACCCAATAAAAATGGTGAAAATGTCAAATACCTGACAGAAGATATATCAAATAGCACACAGCCAATAGAAAAAAAACAAAAACAAAAACAAAAGTAATCAACATAATTAATCGTTGGGGGAATAAAAATTTAAAACAATAAAAACAGTCAGATGCCAATAAAATAGCTGAAATAAGGCTGACACACTAAATACTGGCAAGGATTTGCAGCAACTGGATTGCTGGCAGGAGCGTGCACAACAAGGCCAGAGAACCATTTTACAGATTTATGTCTGCTTGTATTACACCTATTGCTCAGAAATAAACCAGGGGGAGAAAAAAGCCTGCTGTAATACACAGCATGAATGGATCTCATGAAACATTTTCATTAAATCATTCAGACATACTAATAGTAATTATATGTTGTATGATTCTATTTATATGGGATCCAAGAAGATTCAGAATTTCGCTGGGCATGGTGGCTCACGCCTGTAATCCCAGCACTTTGGGAGGCCAAGGTAGACAGATCACAAGATTAGGAGTTCAAGACCAGCCTGGCCAATGTGGTGAAACCCCGTATCTACTAAAAATATAAAAATTAGCCATGTGTGGTGATAGAGAGTGTCAGGGATTTAATGGAAGGACTTACAAGGGAATTTTCTAGGCAATAGAAGTGTTCTACTTCTTGTTTAGGTGTTGAGCTAAATAAATAATATTTAATTATTAAAGTCACCAAGTTTACAAGTTTATATTCTTAAAGTCACCAGCTATATCGACTTTCATAAAACTGGAAAGATCTGTGCATTTTATGTGAATTATGCCTTATTACAAATACTTTTAAAAATACATGCTGAAATAATCTCACAACTCACAAAATTATTTTCAAAGTAGCATTTTCTGGGAAAAGGGAATTGCTCTCAGCTGTTTGAATGACTTATGAGCTGATGTCCAAATAGAGCAAGGATTATCCATATAGATGGTATAATTCAGCATTATATGATTAAGCTGTGTATCATGTTATTTTTCTATAGACTAGTCAGACTATCAAGGATCCTGAAATTAGGGTGCAATGATTTGGTGATTATGTGGTCCCACCAAACCCAGTAATGAGGCTCTGGAACTGCTAGTGGGTGCAATATAGACATGATGAAATATAGAGTTAAAACAAGCTGAATGACTCTTGCAAAATATTCTCAGCTAGCTTTATGATTTTAAAGTATGGACAACCAAGCAATGTTTCTTCTAGAAAGATATGCCCTCTATGAACCTTGAGGATCCCCTTTTAGGGAGTGTTTATGGAAACACTTAGTAAATACTGTGCCCTACATATACTTACTATTATGTTTATAATAGAGGAAATAATACCCTGAATTCTGACCACATATCTACAGAGTTACGCAGAAGTCTTCAGACTTTGGAATAAAATATGGAAATCAAGGAGGTTGGTGATTGATAATGCTGAGATCATTCCTTTTTTCCTGTCTATAATCCTTTATAAACAACAAATGTGATAGGAGTGAACAAAAGGAAAAAGATCGTGCTATAACTCTTTAAAACACATTAAGTCACTCCCTCTAGTTTTAAGTAGACTCTACATGAAAAAAAAAAATCTTTAAAATTATTGTTATAAGAAAGCTCTAAGTTCTCATTTATTGCTTTTTAATGAGTCTTCTAAAAAATTGAGAGCTTTGAAATCAACATTTTTCTCTTCTTACTTTTGATATATATTGTTTACAGCTTAGATGCATTGAAAAATTGGAAGCTGTCTTGCAGAGTGTTTAATGGGTTTTTAATGCATGTTGGAAACAGGTTTACATTCTAAAATTCAGATTTGTTTTCCTAAAGACTCTTTATAATATCTAAGTTTTGTGTGTATTTTGAATTAAAAATATCCCTCCCTTTAGCGTTCTTCATTCCATATTTCTTTCCTTTTAAGGTTGCCCTTAGAATACTCTCTAAATCATTCTTATCTCTCTGTAGCAGTGCCTGATCACATTCCATAATTTTCCTTTATCTTTTGACCCTGATTAGCCTATTACGAACAATGAATGAGGCCAAATCCTACCTAAGGAAACACTGTAAAATGCACAATTAATATCTGTGGCATTGTCTAGAAAACTTAGAGAAGCAAGCATATTAAGTAAACAATATGGAAGACAACTATACTAACCAATATGTACAATGCATGTATCCATGTAATTGTCATTTTTAATACAATAATTATCATAATTTTTATTACCATAAACATTCTTATAATCAATTATTGTTCTTGGTATTTTAGAACTGTCAGACTGGTTCATTTAACAGATAAATTATTTATATGGGTTGAACATCTTTATATCTTAAGTGTTCTTTTTTTCTATTCTAGAAAAAGCAGTTTCTCTTACATTCCTAGGGGAAAAATGCAAGGAGGAGAAAAACAAACAAAAGAAAAACGGAGGTGACATTAACCATTAGTAGATGTAAAGTATTGTTATTAAGCTCACTAATTCCCACTGTATCCCATTGGGATGGTTATCATTGCCCACATTTTATATGTGGAGAAGTTGAAATTTAGAGATAAGTTCAAAATCACACAAAGGAGACAAAGCTGGAAATTGACATCTAACCATTCTAATGGAAAAATTATGTTCTCGTTATGGCAGAATTGTTCTTTCAAAGCAATTATTTTACTAACGAAAGAGACCAACAAGAATCATTATGTTTCTCCTCAATATTTAGTAAGACCTCACTTCTTTGGAGCTTTCAGATAAATGAATTAATATAACTAACTAAAAAGCATACAGTAAGTGGTAGGCCATAGGGCAATTTTGTATCAATTGAGATGAAAGTATATACCCACTATCACAATAAAATTGATAGGACATACATATTTTTTTCATATCTAACTGCAACATTTTGAAATGCCACTGTATAGCAAAATAGTTATACTATCAGGTATTACAATTGAGTGTAGAGATATTTGCTTTTACACTAAATGACCCTATATATTTTGTTTGGAGATTGTTTTCTGCTTTTTGTCATTTTCTGTTGCACTGGTCTATGACTATCAGTTATCACTTCTTCCTTTCAATGTGCTTATGCATATATACAACCCTCTCTTTTTTAAAAAAATATTGAGACCTCAGATATAATTCAGGATTAGGAATGAAGTATCGAGCCTATTAAATTCTTATCTAAAATAAGATTAAGTAAATTTTGGTGTAGGATGTAAAAGGGTTCTCTATAAGTGAACTTTGTGAACTGTAGTATATTTTGTGACATCTCTACTCAATTTTCAGAAGTAATTTTTGCATATACCACGTGGCCTTTAGTTTGAGTTTCAAAGAGGTAAAGTTGCTGGATAGCTCACATATGGCCAAGGTCAGTTTAAGTTATCATATATAATTCATGACTAACTTTTTGAAACACCTCCTAGCTTTCTCTTTTCTTTTCCTTCCTTCCTTCCTTTTCTTTCTTCCTTCCTTCTTTCTTTCTCTTTTTTGAGACTGAGTCTCGCTCTGTCACCCAGGCTGGAGTACAGTGGCACTTTCTCCTTCTAGCTTTCTTTCTCTCTTTCTTTTCTTTTCTTTTCTTTTCTTTTCTTTTCTTTTCTTTTCTTTTCTTTCTTTCTTTCTTTCTTTCTTTTTCTTTCTTTCTTTCTTTCTCCTTCCTTCCTTCCTTCCTTCCTTCCTTCCTTCCTTCCTTCCTTCCTTCCTTCCTTCCTTCTTTCTTTCTTTCTTTCTTTCTTTCTTTCTTTCTTTCTTTCTTTCTTTCTTTCTTTCTTTCTTCTTTTCCTTTTTTGAGACTGAGTCTCACTCTGTCACCCAGGCTGGAGTGCAGTGGCACTTTCTCGGCTCACTACAACCTCCACCTCCCAGGTTCAAGTGATTCTCCTGCCTCAGCCTCCTGAGTAGCTGGGATTACAAGCGCCCGCCACCACACCCAGCTAATTTTTGTGTTTTTAGTAGAGACGAGTTTTCACCGTATTGGCCAGGCTTGTCTCGAACTCCTGACCTTGTGATTCACCCGCCTCGGTCCCCCAAAGTGCTGGGATTACAGGCATGAGCCACCGTTCCCAGCCTACCTTCTATCTTTCAAAATGTTTCATTCATATACTTTTTCTTTCTTTTGGAGAAGGTTTTGCTCTGTCACTGCAGTGGCAAGATCTTGACTCACTGCAACCTTCATCTCCCAGGTTTAACCAAGAACCTGAGACTACAGGCATGCGCCACCACGCCAGCCTAATTTCTTTATTTTTAGTAGAAGCAGGATTTCGCCATGTTGCCCAGTCTGATCTTGAACTCCCGGACTCAAGTAATCCCCTCACCTCTGCCTCTAAAAGTGCTGGGATTACAGGCATGAGCCACCACACACGGCCATCATTCATATACCTTTATTTTCAAAAAAATATATAAATCTTACTGATGTAATAATTTAAGAAAATGCCAATTACAAGATGACTTGGGTAAACAGTATATTTGGCTTCTTTGTACATTTTTGTTTACATTACCTTGTAAGTTTTAAATTTGTAACTATCAAAATGATTTTACAAGTTTTAAATTTCAATTAAGAATGGTTTTTATTGGAAGTTTGCGTTAAATTTTCCCTAAACCTTTGCTATTTTGGTGAACTACTTTTCCCACTATTCTGAATTAGTACCTCAGCTTGTCTTCTAACTTGGCCAAGAAATTAATACTACTATAATGTCTCCTATTTTCTACTGCGTCCACAGACTTTAAAACAAATATTTTTGACTAAGGCTTGGAAACTTCTCATAGGTAAATTGCCGTAATTTTTTTAAACTGAAAAAGACATTTGTCCTACCTTCTGATTGCAAAGGCATGTCTGCTCAGTTAAAATATTTAAATATTTTTAAAAGTGAAAGTTTAAGTACAACCTGCCTAACACAACACATTATAAAAAATTCAGCTCTGCAGACTTGTATGAGAAGAGACAAAACAGAAAAAAGAATCATGATTGTAAAGTTAATTCATTCATTGGTCTTTGGTGCCTTTTTCAATTAGAGCTTAGATAAATTTCAACTTTATCACTTCTAAAACTATAAAAACATCCACAAAAAATATAAAAACATGCACAATAGTGCTTCCTATAGATACTAAGAATTAAAGATCTGTCATACTGTAAAAAGTTAGCAGATTATCAGTCAGCTGATTGCAAAATAGGTTTACAAAATATGTACTACAAACATTATCAAAACGTTCTTCACAGTTTAGAAGCTTTAAATGTAAATTACGCATATGAGTTTAAACATATTATTTTAAAACATATTTAGTAGAAAAAAGAAAATAAATTTAGCAGGAAGTAGGTTGTTAAAAATTTATTTTTATTAGCATAAATCTGGATATAACTCTATTTGGCTAATCAGTATTTGATGAGGGTGCCTAACAAAATAAAACCAGTCATTAATACATGTTAACAAGCACTTGTTATGCTTACAGTTCTCTGAAACCCACTGTAATGAACAAGATAATATTCCTGAAACCGTGGAGATTACAGTTTTACATAAACTGAAGGGAATGGGGAGAGAAAGGGGATACTGGGTATCTGTTCAATAGGCTCTAACTTCTTGACTAAATATTCATAAGAATATAAAATTGTCTAGGTTGAAGTTATTATTTTTATGTGAGTGATATGACTAAATTTTTAAATGAAATTACTATATGTATACAATTACAAAGATAACATATTTTTAGACATTTATGGAAAACTACATTTTCTAGGATTTTGAAAATATATTAATTTTTCACTCTATTGATTTTAAATCATTTAGAACTCTAATATTAAGTAAAAGAACACTATTGTATTTGAACCACTATATTCATAATTTATTAAACTATAGTCTCCAACAATTGTTTGCCCCAATATGGAAAAAAAATCCTATTTGCAATAATTAGCTTTAGTCATAATAAATGAAGCAGATTTATTGTTAGAAGACTCAGAATCCCTCTTTGGAAAAAAGACTGTTTCGTATCTTCCACATGTGAATGCTAAGGCTGTCCAGTGGAATGTTTTCCATGAATCATGCTCTGCGAGGACATTCCTTCTCCATTACCCCCATTAGCTACATCCAAAGAAGAAACAGGATAAAATACCAGTTATAAGTCAATGTTAAAATTCAGACTATTTCATAGGGCAATAATATATGAATATTATGCTGCAAAAGGAGTAAAATTTAGAGGAAAGAATATTAATTGAACAAAAATGTAGAGGAACAATATTAAATTGAAAATATCGACATCATAATAAAATATTGTTTTGGGAATTACAAGAGATTTTGGTTGAGAAGAACAACTGGAGATAGAGAAAGAAAGGAAGGAAAACTGAGAAGAAGGGAGGGAAGGAGAAAGGGAGGGAGGAAGGAAAAGAAGGAAGAAATAAATTTCACGGATTAATGAGTATTCTTATATTCACTTTGTGTGTTCAGGAACCTTCACAGTTTAATCAAGATATATAACCAAACTAAACTTAATTTAAATTTAACATATAACACATCAAGTATTACATGGTTTGGTTGTAGGATTTTAGGCTGATTCTTTGTGAAAATTTTCATTTCCATTTTGATAGCTCCCATCCATTTACTTATTATGGTTATTTTTATCACTTTGAATATATAATTGATAGTTTAAGTTCTTCTCTTTTAATTCTGACACCTGGATCATATTGAGTTCTCTTTCTACTGATTTCCTTTTATTATGATTTTGACTCATATTTTTTTCTACTTCTCTGTATGTGGGACAATTTTATTTTATGCTATTTTATCCTAAATTTAGGGAGGCTCCCTTAAATGTTGATAAAAGTCCCTACCCTTGGCCCTACCCTCCTAATTTATGCAATGAATCATACTATTCTTCCCTGATGACCAACAAGTTGGGCCCTTTCATCTAGGCCCCAACCTATCCAGGACAAATACATTTCCTAAGCTTTTCTATAATTCCCAGAGTGGGCTTTAATGTCTTATCCATTCTTCTGTCTCAAATTCAACTGGTATAGATTGATCTCTGCATCTAACAGGCCTTATCATTAGATTTTTAAATTATTCTTTAAAATTAGAAAAATACATATAGATGAAACCTTTTTTACTCACTTTACTATACTGCAATGATTCGACTTCTCTTTGAGCAATGTGGATGTTTTGTTCTAATAGATGAAACTAACATGAGAGATGCAAAAAAAGAACCAAAATTAATATTCTAGGATATTATCATTCTAAAACTATAAAGAAGTGTAACATACACACACATGCACACATGCACACCAGTGGGAATAGCAGAGTGAGAACCTCCAAAGATCCACTTCTGTACAAAAGCAATGACAAACAGGAAAAACTGTTAAAAATTAATATTTTCAGAACTTTGGAAATGAAGCAAATATTACCAACAATTCAAGGAGGAGCACTTGTTCAAAACAAATGTCTGAATCACAAGAAGAATGGCAAGATTTGTTTATTGGTTAACTTCATTAGTTAATGGTAGGAACAGCCTTTTAACAAACCTTATTCCCTTTTCCCCTCCCCATTCCACAGTACCCTTAAAAACTAATAGTCTCCAAACCATGTTGGAAACCAGTAGCCTAACAATCACTAGAGGGAAAAGAAGGAGTTTGGTGCCCCTTGAAAAGCTCCTTCCAAGATAATTTTCATCATTCCACTCATCTCACAGTTTCCTGGGAAAACCTACTTGCAGGGCTGGTCTTTATTTGACTTGACTTAGTGCTCACACAATGTGAATAGGCTTTATCCAAGAAGCATTTGCTGAAAACATCCAGTGGCAATATTTTAACACTGTAGCCATCTGAAGTGGTGACAACAGCTGGGACAAATAAATATCTGGCCAAAAATTCTGAAAACAAAAGGCTTGGGAATGAGATGTCCACAGGAGGTTCTGAAAACCCTGGCATATTCCAGGGACTCTAGAAGACCACGCGCATGCTCAAGATTGCGTACGTGCCATGGTTCTGTGCATGCCCAGAAAAGCCCCCATATGACCCTGAGTTTTCACCTGCATTTAGTATATGTTCAAAGAACTCAAAGCAGAGTGTGAACCAAAATTTTCATACAGAACCCTGTCCTTCAAAAATGAAGAAAAATCCAAGACATTGCCAGATAAATAAAAACTGAGAGAACTCATCCCTAGCACAAATGCCCTATAATAAATACTGAGAGTCTTACAGTGAAGGACTTCACACTGAAGTGAAAGGACACTAAACAGTAAGTTGAATGCATATGGAGAAACACACAGCATCAATAAAATTAACTAAATAGGAAAACAGAAAATCAGTATAAATAAATTTATTGTTCAGGAACATTTTTTTCCTTCTATGTGATATAAAAGGGAACTGCGTAAAACAATAAAGTGTGTGCGTGTGTGTATGTGTGTGTGTGGGGGGGGACATATATATAAAGATAAAATGTATATGGCAATAATAGCATAAAGGAACATGGGAGAGGAGCATAGAAGCAAAGTTTCCATACACTGCTAAGATTGATTTGACATGAGTTTGACCAGGCTGTTATAAATTAAGATGTTAGTTGCAATCCCCAGAGAAACCATGAAAAAATAATTCAAGAAGACATAGTAAAGGAAACATTATGGAATTAAAATGTTAAAATAAAACTACCTATTTAACACAAAATATGAGGTAATGAAGGACTATAGAAACAAAAAATATGACATAAAGAATATAGCAAAATTATCAGAATAATTTTATTACATGAAAATGGATTAAATGCTACAATCATAATACAGGAATTAATAGAAAAGATTTTTAAAATGACTCCATTATATGCAGTCTATAAGAGAGACACTGTAGATCCAAAGACACAAATACTTTGAAAATGAAGGACAAAAGAAATAAACCATTCAGACAATAAGCAAAAGAAAGCTGGACTGGATATACTGATAATACAGGACAGGCAAGGCCCTAAATTGGGGCTTAACTGGGGAGGGTTCTTTGCTTTACTCAGGAAAGAATTCAAAGGCAAAATGGAAGTGTTAAGCAGCAACATTTATTGAAGCAGCAGCATGCAGCAGCAACAGAGGTACTGATCCTTGCAGAGCAGGGCTACCCCATAGGAATGGTGCTCAGAGTGGTGGCTCAGAGGCAGTTCTGCATTCATATTTATATCCACTTTTAATTGTATTAAAATTAAGGGTCAGTTTATGCAGAAATTTCTAGGATGAGCGTGGTAGCTTCCAGATTGTCTGGTCAAAGGCGCAGTTATTTGGGGTTATTGCCATGGCAATGGTAAGCTGACATGGCACACTCATGGACATGTCCTATGGGGAGGTGCTTCTGCCCTGGTCCTGTTTCAGCTAGTCCATAATTTAGTCCCTTGTCTAAGCCTCACCTCTTATCTCACTAATGTGGATCAAAATTGATGTTAAGACAAAATTGTGTTAAGTCTATTAACAAAGAAAATAGGGCCAGCCCATAGGGAATTACAAACATAGACCTAAAACAGAGCCCCAAAACAATTGAAAGAAAATCTGATAGACTTGAAGGGAGAAATAGACAATTCAATAATTATAGCTAAGGACATCAATATCCCACTTTCAATAATGGATTGCAAAACCAGACAAAAGATAACAAAGAAATGGAAGACTTGAACAATATTAACTAACTAGATAAAACAGACATCTCTACAATACTCCACCCAACATAAATATTATTCTTAACTACACATAGAATATTCCCCTAGGTAGACTATATACTAGGCCATAAAACAAGCCATGATAAATTTAAAATATTTAAAAGTACAAAAATGTATTCTCCAGCCACAATATAGTAAAATGGCAAACAATTAATAGGAAAAATATGTGAAATTTACAAATATGTAGGAATTAAGCAACACTCAAAAACCAAAACCTTATAAGATAAACATAAAACAGTACTTACTGAGGAATGTAAAGCTCTAAACAGCAATGTTGGAAGAGAAGAAGCATTTTGAATAATCTAACATTCAACTTTATGACACAGGAAAAAAAAGCAAACTAAATCCAAAGCAATTAGAAGAAAGCAAATAATATTGAAGCAAAAATAAATAGCTAGCAGAAAAGCAATAGGGATAATCAGAAAAACATAAATATTATTATTGAAAAGATTAATATAATTTGCAAAATATTAGGTGGTCTGTCCAATAACAAAAGAAAGACAACTAAATTCAACAAAATTATTAATAAAAAAGATCATTACTACAAACCTTACAAAAATAAAAAGGCTTACAAAGGCACACTATGGTCAAACATATGCCAACAAATTAGATACTTGAATAGAATGAATGTATTTCTAGAAAACACAAACTACTGAAAATGATTCAAGAAATGTAAAATCTGAGTAAACTTAAAACAGGTAAGGGTATTTAAATAGTAATTAAAAAGTTTTCCAGACCCAGATGGATTCACTAGTGAATTCTACCAAACTTTTAAAGAATAATTAACACTGATGTTTCTTACATTCTTCAAAATAATAGAATAGGGAGAAAAATTCTTCAATTCAAACTATAAGTCTAGTGTTATCAAAATCATATAAAGACAACACAAGAACAGAACATCATAGAAGAATATGCCTTATGAATACATACATGCAAAAATCCTCAAAAATATTAGACAATATAATCCAACAAGATATGTAAATGATTCTAAATCATGAAAAAGCAGGATTAATCATAGGAATGCAAGGTTGACTCAATATTCAAGAATCAATTAATATCATATAATATACCATATTAATAGAATAGAGAATGAAAGACAATGATCACTTCGGTAGATACAGAATAAGTTTTAACAAAATTCAACGCCCTTTCATGACAAAAAAAAAAAAGAAAACTAGGAATCGAGGAAAACTTGCTTAATTTGATAAAGGAAATCTATAATAAAACCCACAAATAAAAGCATACTTAATAATAAAAGACAAAAAGCTTTCCCCTTAAGATGGGGAAGGAGACAATATGCTACTCAACTTTGTATTTTATGTCCAAAAATATAAGACACCCAGATTGGAAAGGAAGAGGTAAAACTGTCTTTATTTGCAGGATGGAAGATACAAAATATATTTTTAAAAACCAATTCTATTTTTCCACATTGCCATGAATAAAATAAAAATAAAATTAAAGAAATGAATTCATTGACAATAGCACCAATAATAGAATATTTAGAATATTCACAAGAAATATTTCCCAAAAAATCAATACCTATATTAAAAACTAAAAGACTTCATTAAAACAAATTAAAGAACAGAGTTACAGGACTCCCATTTCCTGATTTCAAAACTAACTACGCAGCTACAACAATCAAGACAATATATGGTACAGGCATACAGATAAAAGTATAGATAAAATAGAATTGAGAGTACAGAAAAAAAAAAAACACCTTACACGTTTGGTTCAGGTTATTTTGAGACAAGTGTTTAAAGACAATTCAACATGAAAAAATATTGTTTTCAACAAATAATGCTGAGATAACTGGATACTCACATGAAAAAGATGAAGTTGGAACTCTTACATAACACTGTACAAAAAGTAACACAAAACACCTTTAAGATGAACATGTCAGAGATAAAAATACAAAATTCTTAGAAGAAAACAAAGGTAAGATGTACATGTCAGAGACAAAAGTATAAAATTCTCAGGAGGAAACCTTCATTATCTTTTGTTAGACAATGTTTTCTAAAATATAGAACCAAAAGTATAAGTAAAAAGAGAAAAAAAATAAATTGGATTTACTAAAATTTAAAACTTTTATGCTGTAAATTACACTATTAGCAGAGTGAAAAGACAACCCACAAAATAGCAGAAAATATTTAAGAATCATATGTCTGATAAGGGAATGGTATTGGCAGTAACGGAAAGAACTCTTACAACTCAAAGATAAAAAGACAAATAACCAATTTAAAAATGGGCAAACGATTTGCATAAGCATTCCTTCGAAGAAGATATGCAAATGGACAATAAACATGTGAAAAGATGCTCAACATTACAAGTCATCTGGGAAACAAAATCAAGCCATGATGAGATACCACTTCACACCCACTAGGATGGCTATAATTAAAAAGAAGTACAATAACAAATGTTGGCAAGGATGTGGAGAAATTGGAACCCTCATACATTGCGAGTGGCAATACAAAATGATGCTGCTTATTTGGAAAACAGTTTCACACTTCCTCAAATCATAAACATATCATTACCATAAGATCCAACAATTTCACTACTACATATACACCCAAGAGTACTACAAACATATGTCCACACAAAAACTTGTACATGAATGTATATAGCTACATTACTCATAATAGCTACAAAGAAGAAACAATCCAAATGTTCAACTATAAATAAGTAGTACGTAGTATATTCATAGGATGGAATATTATTTGGTATGAAAAATTAATGCAGTACTGATATGTAGTGGAACATAAGTGATCCTTGAAAACATTATACTCAGTAAAAGAAGCTCGACACCACAGGCCACATATTGTATGATTTCATTATGTTGAAATGTCGGAACAGGCAAATCCATAGGAACAGAGAATAGATTAGTGGTCCCCAGTGGCTAGTGGGAGGTGGGACTGGAAGTATATTGTTAATACAAATAGGGGTTCTTTCTGGAGTGATGAAAATATACTGAATTTATCGATCAGGACAGTTGTGAAACTTTTTGAATATACCAAATTCCAATGAATTGTACACTTTGAAATGGTGATTTATATGTTATGTAAATTTTACTAACAACAAAACACATACAAGCACACACAAATTGAGTTAAAATGTAAGAACTGAATGATGATTGACAGCAAGGACACAAGAAAATACATTTAAATATATATTTAAATATCAAGTGAAAGGTTTTTTTGGTAGCCAAGAGAAAACCTTGACTTTTAATTTTTAATGAAGAAAACCCTAAAATGACAATCATAAGCAAATCCCAAGGCCAATTTCTATCAGGAAGCAAATAAATGAAAAAAAAAGAATATCGCTGTAACACTTTATTTAGCCAATGAAAACATGAAATCTACAATGATATTTTTTAAGTCCGGAGGTGTAACGCTCTATTACAAATTCTATCTTTATTTTTATTTCCATGAGTTGATTTCTGACATTCTAATTTAACACACAGGGAAGGTACTTAAACTTCTACTCATTGTAGTGCATTTTTCACTCCTTTTTCTCATTAATCTTATCTTGTCTTCATTTTTTAATTTTTTTTAATTGCAATAGGTTTTGGAAGAACAGGTGGTGTTTGGTTACATGAATAAGTTTTTAGTGATGATTTCTGATATTTTGGTGCACCCATCACCCAAGCAGTGTACATGGTACCCCATGTGTAGTTTTTTTCGTTTTGTTTTGTTTGTTTTTTGAGACAGAGTTTCTCTCTTGTTGCCCTGGCTGGAATGCAGTGGCACCATCTTGGCTCACTGCAACCTCCGCCTCCTGGAATCAAGTGTTTCTCCTGCCTCAGCTTCCTGAGTAGCTGGGAATACAAGCACCCGCCACCATGCCCAGCTAATTTTTGTAGTTTAAGTAGAGATGGGGTTTCACCATGTTGGCCAGGCTGCTCTCAAACTCCTCACCTCAGTTGATTCACCCACCTCGGCTTCCCAAAGTGCTGGGATTACAGGCATGAGCCACCGCACCTGGCCCAATGTGTAGTCTATTATCCCTCACCACCCCCACCCTTTCCCCTGAGTCCCCAAAGTCCAATGTATAATTTTTATGCCTTTGTTTCCTCATTAGCTCCCACATATGAATGAGAACATATGATGTTTGGTTTTCCATTCCTAAGTTACATCACTTAGAATAATAGTCTCCAATTCTACCCAGGTTGCTGCCAATGCCATTATATCATTCCTTTCATGGCTGAGTAGCATTCCATGGTACATATATACCACATTTTCTTTATTCACTCGATGACCGATGTGCATTTGGGCTAGTTCTATACTTTTGCAGCTGCTAATTGTGCTGCTGTAAACATGTGTGCAAGTAACATTTTCATATAATGACTTATTTTCCTCTGGGTAGATAAATAGTAGTGGGATTGCTGGATCAAACAGATCTACTTTTAGTTGATTAATGACTCTCCATAGCTTTCCATAGTGGTTGTACTAGTTTACATTCCCAATAACGTGTAAAAGCCTTTCCTTTTCACCACATCCATGCCAACATCTATTATTTTTGATTTTTTGATTATAGCCATTCTTACAAGAGTAAGGTAGTATCACATTGTGGTTTTGATTTGCATTTTCCTTATCATTAGTGATGTTGAGCACTTTTTATATTTTTTGGCCATTTTTATATCTTCTTTTGAGAATTGTCAATTGCAACAAAAGCAAAAATTGACAATTGAGATCTAATTAAATGGAAGAGTTTCTGCACAGCAAAAGAAACTATCATCAGAGTGAACAGACAGAATGGCAGAACATTTTTGCAATCTGTCCATCTGACAAAGGTCTAATATCAAAAATCTACAAGGAAATTAAACAAATTTTCAAGAAAAATCAATCACATTAAAAAGTGGGCAAAGGACATGAACAGACACTTCTGAAAAGAAGACATTTATGAGGCCAACAAGTATATGAAAAAAGCTCAACATTACTGATCATTAGAGAAATGAAAATCAAAACCACAATGAGATACCATTGAATGATGATTATTAAAAATGGCAATTGCTCCACCAGTCAGAAGGGCAATTATTAGAAAGTCAAGAGACAACAGATGCTCGCAAGGTGGCAGAGAAATAGGAACGCTTTTACATTGTTGGTGGGAATGTAAGTTAGTTTAACCATTATGGAAGACAGTGTGGCGATTCCTCAAAGAAGTAGAACCAGAAATACCATTTGACCCAGAAATCCCATTACTGGGTGTACACCCAAAGGAATGCAAATCATTCTATTATAAAGATACATGCACGAGTATGTTCATTGCAGCACTATTCACAATAGCAACGACATTTAATCAACCCAAATGCCCATCAATGATAGACTGGATAAAGAAAATGTGGTACATATACATCATGGAATACTATGCAGCCATAAAAAGGAACAAGATCATGTCTTTTGCAGGGACATGGTTGAAGCTGGAAGCCATTATCCTTAGCAAATTAATGCAGGAATAGAAAACCAAACACCGCATGTTCTTCCTTATAAGTGGGAGCTGAACAATTAGAACACATGGACACAGAGAGGAGGACACACACTGGGGCTTGTGTGGGGAGTGTGTGGGGTGAGGGAGAGAGCATTAGGAAAAAGAGCTAATGCATGCTGGGCTTAATGCCTAGGTGATGAGTTGATAGGTGCAGCAAACCACCATGGCACACATTTACCTATGTAACAAATCTGCACATCCTGCACATGTACAATAGAATTTAAAAAATAAAAAAAAAAACTTAAAAGAAAAAAACTATGTACTGGGTAGATTGAAGGCAGTGAAATTTTGTGCCAGGAAAATTGATTTTAAAAGTACAACTCTTCACGTTTTGAAATTTGCCAGTAAAAAAAAAGTTTTCAAAGAGAATTAGCTCATAGGAGGTGGATGGTATGGACAGATTTATATTACCATGGCATATAATGGATAAAATACATTTCCCAGTGGTTTCTCGCTGTGCACAGAAATGACTTATGCTGTCAGTGCAACAGTGATTATAACCATTAGTGAAATCTAAAAATTCAGCTCAATTAAATTACTTATGCTATTTTTTCTTTTCCTACGAATATATTTTGACATTCAAGTACATCTTCATGAGCTAACAGAATTTGAAGCAGCTACAATTTATTCTGTTTCTAATTGTGGTTAAATGATTATGTGATTCATCAATAAACAGATAGCTAAGTTTCACAGTATGTCTTAGCTTACTGAGAGATTATGACACTATGACATGCAATAATGCAGTGGAGGGAAAAAGTTGAATGCAGATTTGTTATTTCACAAATGCTTTCATAACTTAAAGTTTAATGTTTTGGCTGAAAGCTGTTATCTTAGAATAGTACAGAAAAATAAAATTGAAAACGTAAATTGTAAGGGAATAAAACATTTCATCTCACTCAAGAGGTAGCAATTATTAACAGCCACTTGGCAAGGAAAGACATGGACAGTGAATGTGAATAATCTTTCAATTATTGCACATCCCCTTACTTACAATGTAACTAATTAAATCAGAAGGGTTGATTACAATAACAGGCACTAAATCCTTATTAGTCTGTGAAATCTATTTTAGTGTATTATCTTAGTGTATAACTTAGATTGATATTTATTGGTTTGCATGAATATCTTGTGCATGGCTGTGTAAGTATGACAGATAGGTTCAAACTGTTGTGCTGCTTCTCTGCGATATTGCAAACAAACATACACGTGCATGCACATATACACAACTACCAAGAAAAAGTCTACAATTATAATGCTAATTTCATATGGAATATAAATGTTTCTTTCCAAAATAACTTGTGAAATAAAGAAGCATTCAAGTTTTATCCTTTCCACCTGTTGTCAAATCCAAGATGATGAACAGTGAGGCGGAAGCATAAAGTACAATTTTGACACCACTTCCATTTTTGTTTGTTTTTATCTGTCCCATACATTTGTTTAATAGACTTGTTGTTTTAGAACAATTTTAGACTTACAGAAAAGTTGAGAAATAATACGGAGTTCCAATATTCTGCACACCCTCCCCTATTATGAAGATTATACTACAGTGCAATACATTTGTCATAATTACTAAAGTAATATTGATACATTATTATTAACTAAAGTCCATAATTTGTTCATTTTTTAAAATTTCTAACCTAATACATATTTTTTTTAAGGCTCCAAACCATTTATTCCCCGTGTCTTCTTAGGCTCCTCTTGGCTGTGTAACTTTTCAGATTTTCCTGAGTTTTTAAGACCTAGAGAGTTTGACCGGGCGCGGTGGCTCACGCCTGTAATCCCAGCTCTTAGGGAGGCCGAGGCGGGCGGATTACGAGGTCAGGACATCGAGACCATCCTCACTAACACGGTGAAACCCCGTCTCTACTAAAAATACAAAAAATTAGCTGGGCGTGGTGGCAGGTGCCTGTAGTCCCAGCTACTCGGGAGGCTGAGGCGGGAGAATGGCGTGAACCCAGGAGATGGAGTTTGCAGTGAGCCGAGATCGCACCACCGCATTCCAGCCTGGGCGACAGAGCGAGACTCCGTCTCAAAAAAAAAAAAAAAAAAAAAAAAAGACCTAGAGAGTTTTGACCAGTACGAATAAGCTATTTTGTAAAATTAAAATTTTATAAAATTAACATGTGACTAATGTTTTCTCAGAAATAGGCTGTACTTATGGGTTTTGAGGAGGATAACTATAGAGATAAAGTGCTGTTTTATCTAGAGTACACGCTGTCAGCATCCTTTATCACTGTTGATACTAATCTTGATCACCCAGCTGAGGTGTTTTTTGTTTGATTTCTCCACTTTAAAGTTAATCTCCTTTTTCCTTTCCATTCTGAACACTTTGAAAGAGACATTATGAGTCAATACTTAAGTAGTGAGGGGTTAGACTTTATCTAAAGAGTTTTACACATTATTTAGAGTTCTTATGCAAGGAAAATGTGTCTTTTCTCTCCATTATATATTCAATCACATTTTAAACAAATATGGATTCATGAATATGTATTTTATATTCTGTATTATATTCCAATACAACATTATTTCCTTTCTCAAATTGTTCAAGCTTTGGCCACTAGCAGCTGTTTCATTTGGCTGCTGTGTGCTTTTCACATCCCTCTTTTTTCCTTTAGCACTTACTTTTTAACACTGTAAGATGTTCCAGGCTCATCTTATATATTTCTTACTCAAGTGCTAGAATCAGCCATTTTTTCAAGGACACTTCCAATAGTATTCTAAATAATTTATTGGGGTGAAATTCACATAGCATAGAATTTACCATTTTAAAGTGAAAAATTCAGTGGCATGTAGTACATTCATAATGTTGTACAAATACTACTTCTATATAATTCCAAAATATTTCATCATTCTTAAGTAAATCCTTTTACCAATAAGCAGTTTATCTCTACCCCTCTTCCTCACAACCTCTGGAAATTGCCAATCTGCCATTTTTCTCCATGGATTTAACACATTCTGGACATTTCATATAAAATGTAATCGTACAATATGTGAAGTTTTGTGTCTGGCTCCTTTCACTTGGCATAAGTTTCTGAGGTGCAATCATGTTGTGGCATGTATCAGTGCCTCAACCTTTTTTATGGCTGTGTATTATTCCATAGTATCTTTATCCCACAGTTTGTTTATACATGCAGCCATTGATGGACTTTTGGGCTGTTTCTACATTTGGCTATTATATTCGTTCTGCTGATAACACGCATGTACATGTACTTGTCTGAATACTTGCTTTTAATTATTTTGGATATATACCTAGCAGTGCAATTACACAGCATATGGTAATTCTATGCTCAACTTTTAAAGCAATAACCAAACTGTTTTCCACAGGTGCTGAGCTATGTTGCATTCCCACCAGCAATGTACTTGAGTTCAGATTTCTCTGCATCTGTGCTAACACTTATTATCTTTTACTTTTTTAATAGTCATTCTAGTGGATAAGAAGTGGTGGGCCCTAATCCAATATGACTGGTGTCCTTACTAAAAGGAGAAATTATGACCAAAAAATATGACATATACAGAGGAAAGAGAATGTGAAATTACATTCCCACCAGCAATGTACTTGAGTTCAGATTTCTCTGCATCTTTGCTAACACTTATTATCTTTTACTTTTTAAATAGTCATTCTAGTGGATAAGAAGTGATGGGCCCTAATCCAATATGACTGGTGTCCTTACTAAAAGGAGAAATTATGACCAAAAAATATGACATATACAGAGGAAAGAGAATGTGAAATTACAGGGAAAACCCCATCTACCAGCCAGAAATACCTGAGACAACCACACTCCAGGAAAGTCATGGAACAGATTCTTCCTCAGAGCCCTGAGAAGAAACCAACCTGAATGAATCTTTGAGTTTGGATTTCTAGGTTCTATATCTATGAGACAATATATTTCTGTTGTTTAAGCTGCTTAGTTAGGCATACCTTGTTATGACCGCCCTAGGAAACTAATAAACTAATGAATAATAATGTCAAATATTTTTTCATGTGTTTATTGGCCATTTGTGTATCTTCTTTGGAGAAATGGTTACTCAAGTTCTTTTCTCCATTTTAAAATTGAGTTGTTTGTCTTATTGAGTGGTAATAGTTATACATCTGAATACTATTACTGCATCAGATAAATTATTTGCAAATATATTCTCCAATGTTTTAGATTATCTTTTCAATTTCTTGATGATGTCCTTTGAGGCACAGAAGTTTTTAATTGATGAGTTTCAATTACTTTATTCTTTTTCCTTTTTATTCATGTATTTGATGCCCAGAGATTCTCCTTCCTTCAGCAGAAAGAAAAGGGTACAGTGACTAAATTCTCTTCTTAATGTCTCTGTCACCTAGCAGGGGAACAAGCATTCCCTTTGTTCACAACACAAAGAGAAAAAGCATTCAAGACACAGCTTCTGAAGATTTTCTAAACAAAAGATGGGAAGGATAGTTGACAGCAATTTTCAAAGCAGAAATATGATTTCCACACGCCAGACTAGCTGAGTATTGTTAAGGAGGATGTGTTCTACACACTCACCAGCAGCTGGAATTTTAAATGAAATGCTGAGGGCTTGTTGGAAGGGGCTTTTGGTGGAAAGCAGCAACCATGCTTTGGATTTATCATGAATCGATCATTAAAGCTGAATGGTAGGCTGGAAAAGGGCACTGGGCTGGGGGTGTGGAGAATGGGTGTCACCATTTACTGGCCATATGTGTGACTCCAGACAAATATGCTCCGTATGAGATTCAGTGTTCATTCTGTATCACAGGCAAGACTAGATTTCTTCATCTTCATTCTCTCAGGAACTCCTTTGCAATTTCTTTATGTGTGTATATGTGTGTGAGTGTGTGTGTACTACATAAACATATACACATATATATACACATATGTACATTACACATACACATTTTAACCATTTATAAGTATATAATTCACTGGCATTAATTATACTCATAATGTATAAACATCACCTCTGTCTATTTCCAAACCTTCTTATTACTCCAAACAGAAACTCTGTAACCATTAAGCAATAACTTCCAATTCTGGCTCATCCATGCCCTGGTAACCTTTAACTACTTCTGGTTTCATGTACTTGCTTATGCTGAATATTTCATATAAGTGAAATCATACAGTATTTGTTATTTTTGTTGGGCTTAATTTACTTGTAATATTTTCAAGTTTCATCCACATGGCAGTATGTGTGAGAACTTCACTCCTTTTTATGACTAAATAATATTCCATTGTATCTATGTGCCACATTTTGTTTATCTATTCCTCTGATGATAAATACCTTGGTTGTAACTAATTTTTGGCAATTTTTAATAATTGCCATGAGCTTAAACATTGACATACAGGTATCTGTTTGATTATATCCAATTATTTTGCATATATACATAAGAGTGAAATTGCAGGGTCATATAATAATTATCTGTTTAGCATGTTGAGAAACCATCAAACCGTTTTCTACAGCCACTGCACTATTTTATATTCCCAGCAGAAATATACAAGTGTTTCAGTTCCTCTACATTCTCTGTAGAATGTATTTTTTTTAATTATAGCCATTCTAGTAGGTGTGAGATGTTATCTCGCTGTGGTTTTGATCTGCATGTTTCTAATGATTAATAACATTCACATTATTTTTATGTGTTTGTTGTCCATTTGTATATCTTCTTTGGGGAACTACCTATTCTGTCTTTTACCCAGTTTTTTTTTTTTCAATTGGGTTTTTTGTTTTTCTGCTGTTGAGTTGTAAAAGTTCTTTGTATATTCTGAACACTAGACCCTTATAAGACATATAATTTGCAAACATCTATTCTGTATGTTTTCTTTTTACTTCCTTAAAAATGTCATTTGATGCACAAAAAGTTTTAATTTTGATGAATTGCGTGTATCTACTTTTTCTTTTGTTGTTCCTGTTCTTGGTTTCATATTTATTGCCAAATCCAAGGTTATGAAGACTTAATTCTATGTTTTTTTCTAAACGTGTTATGTTTTTAACTTTTATGTTTATGTCATTGATCCATTTTGAATGAATTTTTGTTTATGAGGTGAGGTAGAGCTCCAACATCATTGTTTTATGTGTTGAAATACACTTTCCCCAGCATTACTTTTTGAAAAAAAAACACACTTTCCCTATTGAATGAATTTGGCACCCTTGCCAAAAATCAATTAGCCACATGTGTCTGGGGTTATTTCTGGATTCTCAATTCTAACTCATTGGTCTATATGTACCTTCTTATGAAAGTACCACACTCTTTTGATTACTGTACTTTGTCATAGGTTTTAAAATGGAAAAATGTGAGACATCCAATTTTGTTCTTCTTTTTCATGTCTGTTTTACATATTCAGGACTCATGAATTTGAGGATCAGATTTTTCATTTCTCCTCAGCAAGCTTTAGAATTTGGGTAGACGTTGCACTGAACTTTAGATTACTGTGGGTAGTATTTATATATTTCTAAAAATTACGTTTTCCTAACCATAAACATGAGATGCCTTTCCATGTATCTAAGTCTTTTTAAATTTCTTGTAGCAATACTTTGTAGTTTTCACTGTACAAGACACGCTTTTTTTGTTTGGTTAAATTTATTCTTATATATTTTAATCTTTTAGGTATATAGCAAATTAATTTGCTTTCTTAATAGTAAATTTGAATTGTTTATTGCAGATATATTGAAACACAACTGATTTTGTGTTGGTGTTTAACTCTGCATCTTTACTGAATTCATGTATTACAACTGGTAGTTTTTTTTATATTCTTCGAAAACCTATATATATAAGATCATGGTACCTATGAATAGGGATTGTTTTACATTTTTCTTTCCATTTAGATGCATATAATTATTTATTTTACTTGTCTAACTGCTCTGACTAGACTTTTCACTGAATCCCATATGTTTTATCATGTTGCATTTTCATTTTGTCTCTATTTCATAACTTCCATTTTGATTTATTTTTTGACCAATTGGTTGTTTACAAGAGTGTTAATTTCTGCATACTATATTTGTGAAATTTCCACTTTTCCTTCTGTAAGTGATTTCTAGCTTCATTTCATTTTGATTGGAAAATATATCTGATATTATATCAATTCCTTTATATTTATCCAGGCTTTTTTTATGGCCTGGAATATTATGTATCCTAGAGATTATTTCACTGCATCTTAGAAAAATACATATTCTGTTTTACTCATAGAATGTGCTTCAGCTATCTGTTTTATTTTGTTTATAGTATTGTATCAGGCTTGTATTTTCTTATTGATCATCTATCTAGTCATTCTAGCAATTATTGAAAGTAGGGAATTGACATAGCCAACTATTATTGTAGAACTGTCTATTTCTCCTTTCTATTCTACCAATATGTGCTTTATATATTTTGGGCTCTGTTGTTTCATAAATATTTTATACATAACTGCAGCATCTTATTGATGAATTGATCTCTCTATCAATATACAATGGCCTTTGCTTTGTCTCGTCATAATCTTTAATGAAGTCTATTTGTCTGATATTAGTATAACCAGCCTGGTTCTCTGTTGGTTACTATTAGTATGAAATATCATTTGCCAACATCTCATTTTCAATCTATCTGTAATTTTTATCTAGAATGCATCTCTTATAAACAAATCATTTGCCAACATCTCATTTTCAATCTATCTGTAATTTTTATCTATAATGCATCTCTTATAAACAAATCTATAGCTGAATCATCGTTTTTATCAGTTTTTCCAAATTTTATTTTCTAATCTATTTAGATCTAATATAATTTCTGATCCAAAAGAACTAACTTCTGCCATTTGGCTATTTGTTTTCTAAATGTCTCAAACTTTTTTTTCCTGATTTCCTCCACTGCTGCCTTATTTGTGTTTAATTTTTTGTACTGAATGATTTTGATTTCTTTCTAATTTCCTTTTGTGTATGTTTTTTAGACTTTAGTAATTACCATGAGCTTAAACATCCTTATTTTATAATAATCTAATTTAAATTGATACTAACTTAACATAATAGCAATAGCAATCAAAATTCTACTCTTATGCAGTTAGCCCTTTCTCTTTTATGTATATTTATTGACACAAATTCATCTTTATATTTTGTGTGCCCAATAACACACATTTATAATTATTTTATTTTTTGCACTTGTTGTTCAAATCCTGCAGGAAATAAGAAGCAGTTACAAATCAAAAGCATAATGATACTTGATTTACATTTGGCTGTGTGTTTACATTTACTGGACATCTTTATTTCATTTTATGATTTTGAAGTACTGGCTAGTGTCCTTTCATTTCAACCTGAAAGACTCCTTTTAGCCTTTCTGTAGAGGAAGTCTATTCATCACAATCTCCCTTGGCTTTTGTTTTTCTTAAAAAGTCTTGATTTAATTTAAAAGGTCTGTTTTTGCTAGATATAGAATTCTTGGCTGGCAGAGTTTTTGTTTTCTTTTAGTAGTATAAATATCTTATCCTAGTATCTTTGTCTTCCATTGTTTTTATTAACAAAGTGGCTGTTACTGAGGCTTCTTTGTATTTGATGAGTCACCTCTCCCTCTGCTTTCTTTTTTTTTAATTTTTCTTTAATTTTATTATTATTATACTTTAAGTTTTAGGGTACATGTGCACAATGTGCAGGTTTGTTACATATATATACATGTGCCATGTTGGTGTGCTGCACCCATTAACTCGTCATTTAGCATTAGGTATATCTCCTAATGCTATCCCTCCCCCCTCCCCCCACCCCACAACAGTCCCTGGAGTGTGATGTTCTCCTTCCTGTGTCCACGTGTTCTCATTGTTCAATTCCCACCTATGAGTGAGAACATGTGGTGCTTGCTTTTTGCCCTTGCGATAGTTTGCTGAGAATGATGGTTTCCAGTTTCATCCATGTCCCTACAAAGGACATGAACTCATCATTTTTTATGGCTGCATAGTATTCCATGGTGTATATGTGCCACATTTTCTTAATCCAGTCTATCATTGTTGGACATTTGGGTTGGTTCCAAGTCTTTGCTATTGTGAACAGTGCCGCAATAAACATACCTGTGCATGTGTCTTTATAGCAGTGTGATTTATAGTCCTTTGGGTATATACCCAGTAATGTGATGGCTGGGTCAAATGTAATTTCTAGTTCTAGATCCCTGAGGAATTGCCACGCTGACTTCCACAATGGTTGAACTAGTTTACAGTCCCACCAACAGTGTAAAAGTGTTCCTATTTCTCCACATCCTCTCCATCACCTGTTGTTTCCTGACTTTTTAATGATCACCATTCTAACTGGTGTGAGATGGTATCTCATTGTGGTTTTGATTTGCGTTTCTCTGATGGCCAGTGATGATGAGCATTTTTTCATGTGTTTTTTTGGCTGCATAAATGTCTTCTTTTGAGAAGTGTCTGTTCATATCCTTCACCCACTTTTTGATGGGGTTGTTTGTTTTTTTCTTGCAAATTTTTTTGAGTTCATTGTAGATTCTGGATATTAGCCCTTTGTCAGATGAGTAGTGAAAATTTTCAGAAAATTTTCACAACCTCTCTCTGCTTTCAAGATTATCTCTCTGCCTTTGGATTTTAAAAATTTGATTATAATTTATCTTGGTTTTGGTCTCTTTAAGTTTTTACTAATTGGAGTTCATTGAGCTTTTTGTACTGATTGATGAGTATCTTTCATCAATTTGTGAAGTTTTTAGCTATTATTTCTCAAATATTCTTTTCCCCATTCCTCTCTTTCTTCTTGTTCTGAGACTCCCATAACTTATACGTAGATCTGCCACATGGTGCTTCATAGTTACCTAGGTTATATTTACATTTTTTCTTTCTTTTTTATTTTCTTTTTAGATGGAGTCTCACTCTGTCACCAGGCTGTAGTGCAGTTGCGTGATCTCGGCTCACTGCAACCTCCGCCTCCTGGGTTCACGAGATTCTCATGCCTCAGCATCCGGAATAGCTGGGACTGCAGGTGCACATTGCCATGCCCAGCTAACTTTTGCATTTTCAGTAGAAATGGGATTTCACCATGATGGCCAGGATAGTCTTGATCTCTTGACCTCGTGATCTGCCCACCTTGGCCTCCCAAAGTGCTGGGATTACAGGCACGAGCCACTGTACCCAGTTATTTTCACTTTTCTTATTCTTTTTACTTTCTGCTTTTCAGACAGAATGATTTATATTGCCTTATCTTCAAATTCAGTGATCTTTCAGGCTGAGTAATTTCAACTGCCTTATCTTTAAAGTCAGTGATTCTTTCTTCTGACTGCTTATATTTGCTGTTGAATTGCTCTAGCAATTGTTTTCTTTTCAGTTATTGTAAATTTTACCTCCAGCATTTATGTTCCTTTACTTTATATTACTTATATATCTTCACTGATATTCTCATTTTCATACATTATTTTCCTGAGTTATTTTATTTCTTTGTCCGTATTTGTCTTTAAAACTTTGAACATATTTAGACATTTGTTTAATGTTCTTGTCCACTAAATTTAATGTCTGGGTTTCCTCAGGGATGCATCCAGTTAAGTAATTAATTTATTTATTTCGAGACAGGGTCTCATCCTTTTCACTGAGGCAGGAGTGCAGTGGTGCTATCACACCTCCCTGTAGCCTTGACCTTCCATGCTCAAGTAATCCTCTCACCTCAGCTCCTGAGTAGCTGGGGCTACATATTATGTGTTTTGATAGACCATATATTCATAGTTTCTTTTTTCTTTCTGTATGCCTTGTGACTTTTCTTCTTGAAAATTAGATATTTGAATATTATAATGTGATAATTCTGAACACTACATATTCATCTGATATAGTTTGACTGTGTTCCCACCCAAATCTCATCTTGAATTATTATATAATTGCCATAATCCCCATGTGTCATGGGAGGGACCTGGTGGGAGGTAATTGAATCATAGGGGCATTTTTCCTCATGCTGTTCTTGTGATAGTGAGTGAGTTCTCACAAGATCTGATGGTTTTATATGTGTCCTCCATTTCCCCTGCTGGCATTCATTCTCCATCCTGCCACTCTGTGAAGAGGTGCCTTCCACCATGATTGTAAGTTTCCTGAGGTGTCCTCAGCCATGGAAAACTGAGTCAATTAAATCTCTGTGCTTTATAAATTACCCAGTCTCAGGTATTTCTTCACAGTATCATGAGAACAAACTAATACAGTAAATTGGTACCAGGTGTGGGTGCTGCTAGAAGGATACCCAAAATTGTGGAAGTCACTTTGGAACTGGGTAACAAGTAGAAGTTGGAACAGTTTGGAGGGCTGAGAAGAAGACAGGAAGATTTGGGAAAGTTTGGAATTTCCTAGAGACTGGGAGGGCTCAGAAGACAGAAAGATGTGGGAAAGCTTGGAACTTCCTAGTGACTTGTTGAATGGCTTTGACCAAAATGCTGATAGTTATATGAAGAATGAAGTCCAGGCTGAGGTGGTCTCAGATGGAGATGAAGAGTTTGTGGGGAACTGGAGTTAAGGTCACTCTTGCTATGCTTCAGTGAAGACACTGGTGGCATTTTTCCTTTGCCCTAGAGTTGTGTGGAACTTTGAACTTGGGAGAGATGATTTAAGGTATCTGGTAGGAGACATTTCTAAGTGGCAAAGCACTGAAGAGGAAGCAGAGCATAAAAGTTTAAAAAATTTGCAGCCTGATGATGTGATAGAAAAGAAGACCCCATTTTCAGGTGAAATTCAAGCCCACTGCAGAAATTTGCATAAGTAATGAGAAGCCAAATGTTAATCATCAAGACAATTGGGAAAATGTCTCCAGGGAATGTCAGAGAACTTCATGGCAGCCCCTCCCATCACAGGCCTGGAGCCTAGGAGGAAAAAAATGGTTTCATGGGCTGGAATCAGGACTTTTCTGCTTTGTGCGGTCTTGGGACTTGGTAACCTTCATCCCAGCCATGGCTAAAAGGGGCCGATGTATAGCTCAGGCCATTGCATCAGAGGCTGCAAACCCCAAGCCTTTGCAACTTACAGGTGGTGTTGGGCCTGAAGGTGCATAGAAGTCAAAAATTGAAGTTTGAAGGTGCACAGAAGTCAAAAATTGAAGTTTGAGAACCTTCACCTAGATTTCAGAGGATGTTTGAAAATGCCTGGATGTGCAGGCAGGAGTTTGCTGCAGGGGCAGGGCCCTCATGGAGAACCTCTGCTAGGGCAGTGTGAAAAGAAAATATGGGGTCAGAGCCCCCAGACAGAGTCCCCACTGTGGCACTGACTAGTGGAGCTGTGAGAAGAGGGCTGCCATTATCAAGATCCTGGAATGGTAGATCCACGGACAGCTTGTACTGTGCTCCTGGAAAATCTTCATACACTCAGCACCAGCCCATGAAAGTAGCTAGGATTGGGGATGTACCTTGCAATGCCACAGGGGCAGAGTTGCCCAAGGCCGTGGAAGCCACCTCTTGCATAAGGATGATGCCATGGACATGACAAATGGAGTCAAAGGAGATTATTTTGGAACTTTAAAGTTTAATGACTGCCTTAATGGATTTTGGACTTGCGTGAAGCCTTTAGCCCCTTTGTTTTGGCCAATTTCTCCCCTTTGGAGCAGGGGTATTTACCCAATGCCTGTACCCCCATTATATCTAGGAAGTAACTGACTTGCTCTTGTTTTTACAGACTCACAGGCAGAAGGGACTTCTGTTGTCTCAGATGAGACTTTAGACTTGGACTTTTGGGCTAATGCTGGGTTGAGTTAAGACTTTGGGAGACTCTTGGGAAGGCATGATTGTGTTTTGAAATGTGAAGACATGAGATTTGGGAGTGGCCAGGGGCAGAATGGTATGGTTTGGCTGTGATCTCATGAGATCTGATGATTTTATAAGTGTCTGGCATTTCCCCTGCTGGCACTCATTATCTCTCCTGCAACCCTGTAAAGAGGTGCCTCTGCCATGATTGTAAGTTTCCTGAGGCCTCCAAAGTCATGTGGATCTGTGAGTCAATTAAACCTCTTTCATTTATAAATTACCTAGTATCGAGTATTTCTTTACAGCAGCATGAGAACCAACTCATACATCACCCTCCCCTACTGTTAAATGCTGCCTTAAAAATGTTATAACTGCTATTGAAATCTGTAGTAATCTATTTTTCTTCTGACCTTCTCAAATGTTTTGCATAGACTGTAGCCCTTTTGCCAAGTGTCATCATTGAAGCATCTGTCCTTGTCTTTTGTTTAGCTAGTGTATTCACAGACATTTCTTTTAATGGGCAAATGCTGAAAAATAAATAAATAAACAACTTTCTCCTAGTATTTTTACACTGGCGTTGTGCTGGGGCACTCCTTTAACAGTTAACCAGATTTCCACTGAGCCTAGAGATCAGCCTGAAGTGAAAGATTAAAATCTTCCAAGGATTTTTTTGAGCACCATTTTGCCCTGTGCACGTGCATCACCTTTGAAATGTTCTCATATATGGGAATTTTGCATGTCCCAAAGTAACTCTCCCAAGGATTTGCTTCCAAGTGTAAGAAAATCTATTGTATATCTTGACCATAATCTGTCACTTAGGCATCCGTGGGTTGTTAGTTAATTTTCAGTGTTTTCAAGCAATCTTTGCGCTTTTCCAGTCTGAGATTTGAGTTAGGGGAGACAGGAAAGGGAACTTTCTGTCAATCCCTTAAGTGGTCTCCAGGCAGATAAGAAAAAAACATACACAATAATTTGTGAGTAGAAATGGCTCTGATTGTTCCTGAACAAGAGAACGTAGTCACACTCCAAGAACCCAAATTTTCCCCTTCAGAACTCCCACCATACATGGGGGACAAGTAAACATAAAGCTGCAAAAGTTTTCCCCCACTTTAAAATTGCCTTTTTTTGATTCAACACGCTTTGGTTGCTGTAAACCTCTGGCTATTTTCTAGACTTCCGACAAAGTTGATTCTGACAATTCCTGCTAGTTTCCAATGTTATTATGTAGGAATGAGATATTGAAGGTGCCTACTCTGTCGTTTTCCTGGTCACTCCTCATCTTCTTGTGTTTGTTTTTGTTTGTTTGTTTGTTGAGACGGAGTCTCGCTTTGTCACCCAGGCTGGAGTGCAGTGGCGCGATCTTGGCTCGCTGCAAGCTCCGCCTCCCGGGTCCATGCCATTCTCCTGCCTCAGCCTCCTGAGTAGCTGGGACTACTGGTGCCCGCCACCACGCCCGGCTAATATTATGTATTTTTTTAGTAGAGACAGGGTTTCACCCTGTTAGCTAGGATGATCTCGATCTCCTCACCTCATGATCCATCCGCCTCTGCCTCCTAAAGTGCTGGGATTTCAGGCATGAGCCACTGCGCCCGGCCTCATCTTCTGTTTTGAAAGAACTTTTCCCTGGATGCATGTAGAATGTTAATTTAAAATTCTTTCAACATCTTAAAGATTCCATTAGTCTTCTGTTTTTCATACCGTCTGATTAATTATTTTCAGGCATTCTTATCTTTATTTCCTGTGGATGTAATGCACCTTGCCCCACTACAACATTACTTCCTGCTGGCCTCCTTAAATTTTTTTTTATTCTTCATTGAATTTTAGTATTTAAAAGTTTATACCTCATGCATATATACCCATGCATGTACATATATTTATCCTATTTGGAGAACATTGAGTTTCTTGTGTCTCTTATTCTAATTTGTATCAATTTTGGACTGTTTTTACTATTATTTCTTCAAATAATTTTCTGCCTCTACCCTTCTTGGGGTTGCAATTTAACTTATATTTGCCATATTAATATGATCTCACAGGTCATTAAGGCTGAATTAAAGTTTTCTATTTTTTTTCTCCATCTGCATCTGCTTCTCTAGTATCTATGTCTGTGTCTTTCTTTTCATTATGCAATATATTAAATTTTTCTTAACACCACTTAGTGAAGTATTAATTTCAGGTATTATGTTTTTCATTTCTGTTAGTTTTTTTTTTACTTTTTTATTGTAGCCCCTTTATCTCCACATTTTATTTTTATTTTATTATAATATTTGTACAAAGTTATTATAGTTGTTTTAAATATTTTTAGATAACTCTTAACCTTTTCCCCTAGGCACTAAACATTTAGAATAATAATTCAATTGTTCTTTACCTAAACTACAATTATTTTAAATTCATCTAATATTATATTAGAAACTTACTTTATTTTCCTTGTTCTCAATATTGTAAAAGTAAAAATTCATGAAGAATTTTTTTGTTTGTTTGTTTTTTGTTTGTTGTTTTGTTTTTTTGAGACAGAGTCTCACTCTGTCACCCAGGCTGGAGTACAGTGGTGTTGTGATCTCTGCTCACTGTGACCACTGCCTCCCAGGTTGAAGTGATTCCTACTGCTTCAGCCTCCTCAGTAGCTGGGATTACAAGCACCCACCACAACACCCTGCTAATATTTTTATTTTTATTTTTTAGTAGAAATGGAGTTTCACCATGTTGCCCAGGCCGGTATCGAACTCCTAACCTCAGGTGATCGGCCAGCCTTGGTCTCCCAAAATGCTGGGATTACAGGCAACAAAATTTATTTATAAGGAAATAACATAGCCTCCTTACAAAATTATCCTTTCTTTGTCTTTTTATATCATCAAAGTGTAAATTACATCCTTCTTTCGAAATTCAGTCACAATTTAAAACTGTATTTACTAAACATGGTTAAGCACTAGAATTAGCTTGAGAAACATAATAAAATACTATTTCAAAAGTCTTTCATAGGTAGGCCGGTGGTAATTCTGATTTTATACGTCTGGAGTAGTGCCTGGGAATTTGAATTTATATCAGTACTTCAAGAAAGATTATCAATTATGCTCATATATTTACATGTTAATTACTAAATTTGCTTTAAATGTGTTTATCCATTCTTAACACTCTGTACAATACACTAGAGCTTGGCTATGCATAAAATTTTATCTAAACAAGACCTCCAGATACAGACTTAAGTTCAACTATATTATATATCAGACTCAAGATACATTGCAAATAGAAAATCATATGATTCAATAGCTACACAATTAACATGCCAATTGTTATATAAATAAATTTATATAAATATATAGATGGTCACTTTTGTCTGTAAACAATTGCTAGAAATTGTCAAGGAATCAGTATGAAATGTTGAAAACTTTAAGTTTAGAAATGGTAATGAGCATGTATGTGAAGTGCACTGCAACTCTTTAGTGTATGCTATGGTCCGAGTGTGTCCCCAACATTTATATATTAAAATGTAATTGGTAGCGTAACAGTATTAAGAGGTGATGGCATTAGGAGGTATTGGCCTCAAAAATGGGAATAGTGACTTTATAAAAGGGCTAGAGGAAGCTAGCTAGACCTTTTTGCCTTTCTGCTCCTTCTGCCATGTGAGGACACAGTGTTCTCCCTTGTGGGATGCAACATTCAAGAAACTCTTGGAAGCAGCAACGTGGCCCTCACCAGAACTTGGGAGACTTCCTAGCCTTCAAAAGTGTAAAAATTAAATGTCTGTTGTCTATAAATCTAATCTCAGGTTTTTTGTTTTAGCAGCATAAATGGACTAATACAATATATAAACAGTTAAAATGTGTGTACCTCCATGACATGATAGAGGTATTAGAGAAGTTTCAATCATGAGGCTAACTGGCAAAGTGTATTTCCCTAAGTGCACATCCATACATTTCTCTCTTTTAAGCATCAGCAGGTAAGGCATTTCTATTGGTTCAAAAACTTAGAAGGTAGGAAAGATGTCTGAATAGAAGCCTCCAGTGAACATTCCCCCAACAGGAACACCAAATTGAAGAACTATTGAGAACCAAAAATCAGGTGAACAATCATAGTACCTGGTTTTGAATTCATATCACTGAAAGAGGCATGGAAGAACATAAGAAAGACAGTCTAAATTGACTACACCACCTCCTTCCCATTCCCTGGCAGCAGCCACATGACACAGACTGAGAATTTTTGTGCTTGTGGGGAGAACACAGTGATAATGGGACTTTGCATTGGCATTCATTGCTGACTTATCACACTAAAATCAACATAGATCTTGGATCTTATCACAGCTGATCTTATCACAGATGATGAGATCAAGATTACAGATCTGTGACTTTATCATAGATCACAACACGGATCCTATCACAGCTGAAATCAACATGCGGCAGAACTTAGCTGTGCCCAGAGAGGAAGCACACAAACTAGCCCTAGCCAGAAGCAACTTGTTCATCCCAGCAGTTAGGACCTGAGTTCTGGCAAGCCCCACTATTGTGGGCTAAAGTATTCTAAAGTCCTAATGTCCTACGTATACTTGAAAGTCAGTCTAGGCCACCAGGTGGCAATTCCTGGGCATGTCCTAGTGCAATGCTGCAATTGGAGCCAGTGGGCTTGGGGTGCCTGTGACCTAGTGAGACACTATTTGTTGTGGCTAAGGGAGTGCTTATGTCACCCCTCTCTCAGCTCCAGGCAGCACAGCTCACAGCTCTAGAACAGACCCCTGCCTTCTGCCTGAGTAAAAGAGAGGGGAGAGTTAAGAGTACTTTGTTTCCTAACTTGGATACTGGTTTCAGTCACAGTAGAACAGGGCACCAGGTAGAGATCCAAGACCCCTACTGCAGGCTCTAGCTCCCAGACATTTCTAGACACAGCCTGGACATGAAAGGAACTCACTTCCTAAAAGGGAAAGACTCCACATCCTGGATATTGGATGACATCTCTCGACCCACTTGGGGCCAGGGAGATCTCACCACCCTGAAGGGAAGGACACAAGCCTGGTTGTTGGTTGTTGTATACAAGATGTACACAAAATCTGCTGATTATAGAACCCTTGGGCCTTGAGTGAACATAAATGGTAGCCTCTCAGTGGTTGCCACAGGCCTTGAGTGAGACCCAGTGTTGTGCTGCCTTCAGGTCTGACCCACTGTAGTGCCACTAGTGGTGGCTACAGGGATAATTGTGTCATCCCTTCCCCAGCTCCAGGAAGCTCAGCACAGAGAAAGACTTCATTTGTTTGGGGAAAATTAAAGGAAGAGAACAAGGGTCTCTGCCTGGTAATCTAAAGAATTCTCCCAGATCTTACTCAAGACCAGCAAGGCAGTACCTCTATGAGCCTGCAAGAGCCACAGCATTACCAGGCTTGGGGTGCCCTCTAATGCAGTTACCAAATACTTATATTACAACATTCAAGTCCCTTCAAATACTTAGAAAGCCTTCCCAAGAATAATGGGTACAAACAAGCGTAGACTGCAAAGACTCCAATAAATACCTAACTCGTCAATGCACAGACACCAATGAACATACACAAGCATCAAGTTTATCCAAGAAAACATGACCTCAGCAAATGAAATAAGGCACCAGAGACTAATCCCAGAGAGATAGAGATATGCGGCCTTTCAGACAGAGAATTCAATATAGCTGTGTTGAGTCAGCTGAAGGAAGTTCAAGATATATTTAAAAAAAGAATTCAGAACTCTTTGAGACAAACTTAACACAGAAATTGAAATAATTTAAAAGAATCCATCAGGAATTCTGGATCTGAAAAATGCATTTGACATACTAAAGAGTCTCTTAATAGTAAAACTGGTCAAGCAGAAGAACTGGAGAGCTTAAAGACAGGGAATTTGAAAATATACAGTCAGAGAAGATAAAAGAAAAAAAGAACAAAAAAGAATGAAGCACACCTATGAGATCTAGAAAATAGTCTCCAAAGGGCAAATCCAAGAGCTATTGGCTTTAAAGAGGTAGAGAGAGAGATATCAGGTTAGAAAGCTTATTCAAGGGATAACATCAGAGAACATTGCAAATATAGGTAAAGAAGTCAATATTCAAGTACAAGAAGGTTATAGAACACCAAGCAGATTTTATTCAAATAATAGCACCTCAAGACATTTAATAATCAAACTCCCAAAGATCAAGGATAAAGAAAGAATCCTAAAGGCAGCAAGAGACAAGAAACAAACAACTTACCAAGGAACAATACATTAGACTTCTCAGTGGAAAGCTTACAGGCCAGGAGAGAGAGCATAATATATTTAAAATGCAGAAGAAGAAAAACTTTTATCCTAGAATAGTATATCCAGTGATAATATCCTTCAAACACGAAGGGGAAATAAAGACTTTTCCATAGAAACCAAAGCAGGTATTTCATCAATATCAGACCTGTCCTACAAGAAATCCTAAATGGAGTCCTTCAATCTGAAAGGAAAGGATGTTAATGAGCAAGAAGAAATCATCTGAATATACAAAGTTCACTGGTAAATTAAGTACACAGAAAAACACAATGTTATAACACTGTAACTTTAGTGTGTAAACTACTCATACCTTCAGTAGAAAGACTAAAGATGAACTTATCAAAAATAATAACTACAACTTTTCAAGACGTAGTACAATAAGATGTAAATAGAGACAACTAAAACTTAAAAAGTGAGGGTTTGAAGTTAAAGTGTGGAGTTTGTATTAGTTTTCTCCTTTTGTTTATTTATACAATCAGTGTTAAGTTGTCATCAGTTTAAAATACTGGGTTATGAGCTATTATTTGCAAGCTTCGCAGTAACCTCGAATTGAAAAACATAAAACAGATACACAAAAAATAATAATCAAGAAATCAAAATATACCACCAGAGAAAATTACCTTCACTAAGAAGAATGCAGGAAGGAGAAAAGAAGAAAGAGAAAACCACAAAATAACCAGAAAACAAAAAATCAAAATGGCAGGAGTAAGTCCTAACTTACCAATAATATTATTAAATCTAAATGGACTAACCTCTTTAATCAAAAGACATAGAATGGCTTAATAGATTTTTTACAAGACTCAATGATCTGTTGCCACAAGAAACACATTTCACCTATATAGACACACATAGGTGAAAAATAAAGAGATGGAAAAAGATATTTCGTGCCAATGGAAACCAAAAAAAAAGCAAGAATAGCTATCTTTAAATAAAAGAGATTAGATTTCAAGGAAAAAAAAATTTTAAAAGCTCATTATATACTAATAAAGGAATCAATTCAGCAAGAGGATGTAACAATTGTAAATATATATGCACCCAACACCAAACCACCCAGATATATAAAGCAAATACTATTACAGGTAAAGAGAGAGATAGACCCTAATGAAATAATAGCTGGAGACTTGAACATGCCAATTTTATCACTGAACAGATCATCTAGACAGAATATAAACAAAGCAACTGTGGACTTCATCTGCACTATAGGCCAAATGGACCTAATAGATATTTACTGATTATTTCCTTCAATGGCTGCAGAATACACATTCTTCTCCTCAACACATGGATGATTTTCAAGGATAGACCATGGTTAGGCCACAAAATAAGTCTTTAAAAACTAAAGAAAAAATATAATTATGTCAAATATCTTTTCCGATTACAAAGGAAAAAGCTAGAAATAACAGGAATTTTGGAAAATATGAAAAATAAACAGTATGAATGTCCTGAATGACTAGTGAGAAAACACAGAAATTAAGAAAAAATAAAAATAAATTGAAACAAATGAGAATGAAAACACAACATACCAAAACCTATGAGATACAACAAAAGCAGTACTAAGAGGAAGGTTTATGGCAATAAGTGCCTACATCAAAAAAGTAGAAAACCTTGAGATACAAACCTAGGTATACATCTTGAAGAACTAGAAATCCAAGATCAAACCAAACTTAAAAATACTAGAAGGAAATAAATAATAAAGGTCATAATAAATAAAAATGGAATTTAAACAAAAAAAACATAAAAAATCAGCGAAACCAAAAGTTGTTTTCTTTTGTAAATTGACAAACATTTAGCCAGACTAATTAGGAAAAAAAAGAGAGAAGACCCAAATACATAAAATCAGAGATGAAAAACAGTACATTAAAACCAATACTGCAGACATTACAGGATCATTAGAGGTTATTATGAGCAACTACATGCCAATAAATTGGAAAACATAGAAGAATTTGAGAAATTCCTGGACACATACCAAGATTGAACTGTGAAGAAATCCAAAACCTGAGGAGACCAATAATAAGTAGTGAGATTGAAGCCATAATAAGTATCCCAGGAAAGAAAAGCCCAGGACCCAATGGCTTCACTGCTAAATTTCACCAAACATTTACAGAAGAACTAAGATCAAACCTACTCAAACTGTTGTGAAAAATAGAAGACAAGGAATACTTACAAACTCATTCTATGAGGACAGTATTATCCTGATACCAAAACCAGAGAAAAATAAAAATAAAAAAAGGAAACTACAGGCCAATATCCCTGATGAACATTGATGCAAAAATCCTCAACGAAATTCTAACAAACTGAATTAAATAACACATATGAAAGATAATTCATTATGACAAAGTGGGATTTATTCCAGAAATGCAAGGATGACTCAGCATTCACAAGTCAATCAACGTCATACATCATACAAACAGAATGGAGGGCAAAAAGCATACGGTAATTTTAATTGATGCTGAAAAAGTATTGATAAAATTGAACATCCCTTCATGATTTAAAAAAAGAAAAACACAAAACATAGGTGCAGAAAAAATATACCTCAACACAATGAAAGCCATATATGACAGACCCAAAGCTAGTAACATATGGAATGGGAAAAAACTAAAAGCCTTTCCTCCAAGGTCTGGAACAAGGCAAGGATTCCCACCTGCACCACTGTTATACAAAATAGCCGGAGAAGTTTTATATAAGAAGTCCTAGCTAGAGCCACAAGATGCTAGAGAAAAATAAAAGGCATTGAAATTGGAAAGGAAGAAATCAAACA
Organism: Homo sapiens; assembly: GCF_000001405.40. Taxonomy (NCBI): domain Eukaryota; kingdom Metazoa; phylum Chordata; class Mammalia; order Primates; family Hominidae; genus Homo; species Homo sapiens. The sequence goes on along the minus strand of NC_000002.12, from coordinate 103,552,588 downwards.
ATCCTTGCTTGCAGATGATGTAATCTAACATTTGCAAAAATCTAACGACTCCACCAAGTAACTATTAGAAAAAATAAACAAATTCAGTAAAGTTGCAAGAAACAAAATCAACATTTAAAAAATCAGTAGCATTTCTATATGCCGATAGCAAATAATCTAATAAAGAGATCAAAAAAGCAACCCAGTTTTCAATAGCTACAAATAAAATAAAATAATTAGGAGTTAACCGGAGAAGTGAAAGATCTCTACAACGAAAATTATAAAACACTGATAAAATACATTGAAGGGTACACAAAAAATTGAAAGGTATCCCATATTCATGGATTGAAAGGATCAATATTGTTAAAATATCCAGACTAGCCCAAGTGATCTACAGATTTCATGCAATCACTGTCAAAATATCAATGAAATTATTCGCAGAAATAGAAAAGAAACATCCTAGAACTTACATAGAACCAGAAAACACCCAGAATAGCCAAAGCCATCCTGAGCCAAAAGAATAAAACTGTAGGAATCATGTTATCTGACCACATTATACTATAAATGTATAGTAATCAAAACAGCATGGGACTGGCATAAAGAGACACATAGACCAGTGGAACAGAGGAAAGATCCCAGAAATAAATCCATACATCTACAGTAAACTCATTTTCAACAAATTTCTCAAGAACATGCATTGAAGAAGGAACAGTCTCTTCAATAAATGGTGCTGGGAAAATTGGATATCCATTTGAAGAAGAATAAAGTAGACCTTTATCTCTTATTATGTACAAAAATGAAATCAAAATTGATTAAAGAATTAAATCTAAGTTTATATATATTCAACCGTGTGTTAGTTCATTTGCAATTCTATAGAGAAATACCTAGGGCTGGGTAATTTATAAAGAAAATAAGTTTATTTGGCTCACACTTCTGTAGGCCATACATGAAGCATGGTGCCTACATCCACTTCTGGTGTTATCATTTTTAGTAGCATTTCAGTTACTAAAAATAATTTTAATGAATTGTTTTTGGAAATTTATTAGTATCCCCCTTCAAATGTTTCTGGGTACACACATAGCATAGAATATTATATAAATATGAAGTATAAGGTTTACATACACAGCCTTGTCATAAATTTGTATTCTGGGGACAGAAGACAAATTTATGTATTCTGTCCCCAACAGCGTAGTTAAATGTTTGTTTGTTTGTTTGTTTTGCGTCTGATGTAGCCCATTTGATCTTCATCTCACTGACCCAAGACCCAACATACCCCATAGCTGTTGACCACAATAAAATCTAAATGTCAAGACCAGAGTCATGTAAATAAGTTTTTCCTTTTCTAGTGTTTTCCAATGGGAAAGCCTAATGCATAATATCCATGGACCTTAATAAAGTTATAATCCCACAGGACCTCTTTCTCTTTCTGGCTCTCCACCCAGTAATTTGGCTCTCTGCATCCTCTAGACTTTCCCTCAGCCTCCCATTGGCACCAATAACCTTTCTGAGACCTGTGAGTAGCAAATTTCTTGTTTTAGGCATTTTGGTTTTACTTTCTCATTGTGTCTTACCTGACACACAAACCCAAATCAAACTTCATCTGGTCATGGCAGAGATCGAGCTTATGGGGCTTATCAAGAGAGGGAAGCAATCTACAGATTTCTTCCTCAAGATCAAAAGACCTCAAGACCAAATTAATAAAATTAAAATTATATTGATAAGAAACATAACAACACTTCCAAGTTTTTCCTACTAAATAAAGAGGGGCTTGGTAATTCCATTTAAAAGTGCCAGGTTCTCATAATTCCACCAAACATAAAAAAGATCTAGAAATATTTCACAAGATATTAACCAATTAACCGTGAAACAACTAATCAAAACTACGCCCTTAATTATCTTGTAATGTGATACGATTAAAATCTTTTCTTCTTTTAATTGTTGGCAATTTTCCTCAAGTAAAATGTTAAGGATTTGTCAATCATAAATTTGTAGGGTTTTGTTTTTTCACTTTTTTCACATTGTTTCTGACATCTTCTGAAACCTAGTAATTAACCTTTGAACTCTTCACAAATTACTTGAAATGTTGGCATACCAAAGAGGTCACAGCCTCTCAAGACAGGAACCACATGTGTCCCTTCTTATTTATCCCACAGCACTGTAATGGTCATGCACATATACTGATGCCAAATGAGTGATTTTAGACTACTTACAAATTTCTTTTAAAAGCAACTCTTGTGTTTGTTTTAATTTCACTTATATAATTTTGCGGTTGTTTTTGCTTGTTAAAGGAACATATACTAAGAAAACTATAGCATACAACAAGAAAATGATATACTAAAAATGAACGAGTTTGATTTCTGGCTGGGCCCAGTGGCTCAAGCCTGT